>NC_000023.11:59872086-60041591 GCF_000001405.40 Homo sapiens | reverse complement strand
GCGGTTTCTGAGAATGCTTCAGTTTAGTTTTTCTGTGGAAATATTCCCGTTTCCAAAGAAATCTTCAAAGAGGTCCACGTATCCACTTACAGATTCTACAAAAAGACAGTTTCAAAACTGCTCCATCAAAAGGAGGGTTCAACTGTGTGACTTGAATGCAATCATCACTCAGAAGTTTCTGAGAATGCTTCTCTTTAGTTTTTACGTGAACATATACCCGTTTCGAACGAAGGCCACCCAGTGGTCCAAATATCCACTTGCAGATTATACAGAAAGAGTGTTTCGAACCTGAACTCTCAAAGGCAGGTTCATCTCTGCGAGTTAAATGCATTCATCATGAAGAACTTTCTCAGAGTGTTTGTGCTTAGTTATGGGAAATTATTCCCGTTTCCAACGAAATCCTCAGAGTGGTCCAAATATCCACCTGCAGATTCTACCAAAAGTGTATTTGGAAACTGCTCCATCAAAAGGCATGTTCAGCTCTGTGAGTGAAACTCCATCATCACAAAGAATATTCTGAGAATGCTTCCGTTTGCCTTTTATCTGAAGTTCCTTCCTATACGACCGTAGGCCTCAAAGCAGTCCAAATCTCCATTTGCAGATTCTACAAAAAGAGTGATTCCAATCTGCTCTATCAATAGGATTGTTCAACTCCATGAGTTGAATGCCATCCTCACAAAGTCGTTTCTGAGAATGCTTCTATCTAGTTTTTATGTGAAGATATTTCCTTTTCCACCACAGGCCTCAAAGCCCTCCAAACGTCCACTTGCAGATTCTCGAAAAAGAGTGTTTCATAGCTGCTCTTTCAAAAGGAAAGTTCAACTCTGGCAGTTGAATACAAACATCACAAAGTAGTTTCCGAGAATGCTTCTGTTTAGTTTTTATGTGAAGATGATCCCGTTTCCAGTGAAATCTTCAAAGAGGTCCACATATCCCCTTGCAGATTCCAAAGAAAGAGGGTTTCAAAACTGCTCCATCAGAAGGATTGTTCAACTCTGTGAGTTGAATGCAGTCATCGCAGAAAACTTTCTGAGAATGCTTCTGTCTAGGTTTGATGTGAAGATATAGACGTTTCAAATGAAGGCTACAAAGTGGTCAAAATATACACTTGCAGATTCTACTACAAGGGTGTTGCAAACCTGAACTATCAAAGGAAGGTTCAACTCTGTGAGTTGAATACAAACATCACAAAGAATGTTCTGAGTTTGCTTCCGTTCAGTTATGGGCAGTTGATCCCGTTTCCAGCGAAATCCTCAGAGAGGTCCAAATATCCCCTTGCAGATTCTACAAAACGTGTGTTTGGAAACTGCTCCATCATAACGAATGTTCAGCTCCCTGAGTTAAACTCCATCGTCACAAAGAATTTTCTGAGAGTGCTACCGTCTGGTTTTTATATGAAGTTCTTTCCTTTACTACCATAGGCCTCAAAGCGGTCCAAATCTCCACTTGCAGATTCTACAAAAAGAGTGTTTGCAAACTGCTCTATCAAAAGGAATGTTCAACCCTGGGAGTTGAATGCAATCATCACAGAGCAGTTTCTGAGAATGCTTCTATGTCGTTTTTAGGAGAAGATATTTCCTTTTCCAACACAGTCCTCCACGCCCGCTAAATATCCACTTGCACATTGTAGAAAAAAAGTGTGTCAAAGCTGCGCTATCAAAGGGAAAGTTCAACTCTGTGAGGTGAATGCAAACATCCCAAAGAAGTTTCTGAGAGTGCTTCCGTTTAGCTTTTAGGTGAAGATTATCCCGTTTCCAACGAAAGCTTCAAAGAGGTCCAAATATCCCCTTGCGGATCCCACAGAAAGAGTGTTTCGAAACTGCTGTTTCAAAAGGAATCTTCAACTCTGTGAGTTGAATGCAATCATCACAAAGAAGTTTCTGACAATGCTTCTCTCTCGTCTTTCTGTGAACATAAAGGAAAAGGCGTTCAGGCCTTTGCCACCACAGGCCTGAAAGCGCTCCAAATGTCCACTTGCAGATTCTGCCAAAAGAATATTTCAAAACTGCTCTATGAAAAGCAATGTTAAACTCTGTGGCTCGAAAACAAACATCACAAAGCGGTCTCTGAGAATGCTTCAGTTTAGTTTTTCTGTGGAAATATTCCCGTTTCCAAAGACATCTTCAAAGAGGTCCACGTATCCACTTACAGATTCTACAAAAAGACAGTTTCAAAACTGCTCAATCAAAAGGAGGGTTCAACTGTGTGACTTGAATGCAATCATCACTCAGAAGTTTCTGAGAATGCTTCTCTTTAGTTTTTACGTGAACATATACCCGTTTCGAACGAAGGCCACCCAGTGGTCCAAATGTCCACTTGCAGATTCTACAGAAAGAGTGTTTCGAACCTGAACTCTCAAAGGCAGGTTCATCTCTGCGAGTTAAATGCATTCATCATGAAGAACTTTCTCAGCGTGTTTGTGTTTAGTTGTGGGAAATTATTCCCGTTCCCAACGAAATCCTCAGAGAGGTCCAAATGTCCACCTGCAGATTCTACCAAAAGTGTATTTGGAAACTGCTCCATCAACAGGCATGTTCAGCTCTGTGAGTGAAACTCCATCATCACAAAGAATATTCTGAGAATGCTTCCGTTTGCCTTTTATATGAAGTTCCTTCCTATACGACCGTAGGCCTCAAAGCAGTGCAAATCTCCATTTGCAGATTCTACAAAAAGAGTGATTCCAATCTGCTCTATCAATAGGATTGTTCAACTCCATGAGTTGAATGCCATCCTCACAAAGTCGTTTCTGAGAATGCTTCTATCTAGTTTTTATGTGAAGATATTTCCTTTTCCACCACAGGCCTCAAAGCCCTCCAAACGTCCACTTGCAGATTCTCGAAAAAGAGTGTTTCATAGCTGCTCTTTCAAAAGGAAAGTTCAACTCTGGGAGTTGAATACAAACATCACAAAGTAGTTTCCGAGAATGCTTCTGTTTAGTTTTTATGTGAAGATGATCCCGTTTCCAGTGAAATCTTCAAAGAGGTCCACATATCCCCTTGCAGATTCCAAAGAAAGAGGGTTTCAAAACTGCTCCATCAGAAGGATTGTTCAACTCTGTGAGTTGAATGCAGTCATCGCAGAAAACTTTCTGAGAATGCTTCTGTCTAGGTTTGATGTGAAGATATAGACGTTTCAAACGAAGGCTACAAAGTGGTCAAAATATACACTTGCAGATTCTACTACAAGGGTGTTGCAAACCTGAACTATCAAAGGAAGGTTCAACTCTGTGAGTTGAATACAAACATCACAAAGAATGTTCTGAGTTTGCTTCCGTTCAGTTATGGGAAGTTGATCCCGTTTCCAACGAAATCCTCAGAGAGGTCCAAATATCCCCTCGCAGATTCTACAAAACGTGTGTTTGGAAACTGCTCCATCATAAAGAATGTTCAGCTCCCTGAGTTAAACTCCATCGTCACAAAGAATTTTCTGAGAGTGCTACCGTCTGGTTTTTATATGAAGTTCTTTCCTTCACTACCACAGGCCTCAAAGCGGTCCAAATCTCCACTTGCAGATTCTACAAAAAGAGTGTTTGCAAACTGCTCTATCAAAAGGAATGTTCAACTCTGGGAGTTGAATGCAATCATCACAGAGCAGTTTCTGAGAATGCTTCTATGTCGTTTTTAGGAGAAGATATTTCCTTTTCCAACACAGTCCTCCAAGCCCGCTAAATAGCCACTTGCACATTGTAGAAAAAGTGTGTCAAAGCTGCGCTATCAAAGGGAAAGTTCAACTCTGTGAGGTGAATGCAAACATCCCAAAGAAGTTTCTGAGAATGCTTCCGTTTAGCTTTTAGGTGAAGATTATCCCGTTTCCAACGAAACCTTCAAAGAGGTCCAAATATCCCCTTGCGGATCCCACAGAAAGAGTGTTTCGAAACTGCTGTTTCAAAAGGAATCTTCAACTCTGTGAGTTGAATGCAATCATCACAAAGAAGTTTCTGACAATGCTTCTCTCTCGTCTTTCTGTGAAGATAAAGGAAAAGGCTTTCAGGCCTTTTCAACCACAGGCCTGAAAGCGCTCCAAATGTCCACTTGCAGATTCTGCCAAAAGAATATTTCAAAACTGCTCTATGAAAAGCAATGTTAAACTCTGTGGCTCGAACACAAACATCACATAGCAGTTTCTGAGAATGCTTCAGTTTAGTTTTTCTGTGGAAATATTCCCGTTTCCAAAGAAATCTTCAAAGAGGTCCACGTATCCACTTACAGATTCTACAAAAAGACAGTTTCAAAACTGCTCCATCAAAAGGAGGGTTCAACTGTGTGACTTGAATGCAATCATCACTCAGAAGTTTCTGAGAATGCTTCTCTTTAGTTTTTACGTGAACATATACCCGTTTCGAACGAAGGCCAGCCAGTGGTCCAAATATCCACTTGCAGATTCTACAGAAAGAGTGTTTCGAACCTGAACTCTCAAAGGCAGGTTCATCTCTGCGAGTTAAATGCATTCATCATGAAGAACTTTCTCAGAGTGTTTGTGTTTAGTTATGGGAAATTATTCCCGTTTCCAACGAAATCCTCAGAGAGCTCCAAATATCCACCTGCAGATTCTACCAAAAGTGTATTTGGAAACTGCTCCATCAAAAGGCATGTTCAGCTCTGTGAGTGAAACTCCATCATCACAAAGAATATTCTGAGAATGCTTCCGTTTGCCTTTTATATGAACTTCCTTCCTATACTACCGTAGGCCTCAAAGCAGTCCAAATCTCCATTTGCAGATTCTACAAAAAGAGTGATTCCAATCTGCTCTATCAATAGGATTGTTCAACTCCATGAGTTGAATGCCATCCTCACAAAGTAGTTTCTGAGAATGCTTCTATCTAGTTTTTATGTGAAGATATTTCCTTTTCCACCACAGGCCTCAAAGCCCTCCAAACGTCCACTTGCAGATTCTCGAAAAAGAGTGTTTCATAGCTGCTCTTTCAAAAGGAAAGTTCAACTCTGGGAGTTGAATACAAACATCACAAAGTAGTTTCCGAGAATGCTTCTGTTTAGTTCTTATGTGAAGATGATCCCGTTTCCAGTGAAATCTTCAAAGAGGTCCACATATCCCCTTGCAGATTCCAAAGAAAGAGGGTTTCAAAACTGCTCCATCAAAAGGATTGTTCAACTCTGTGAGTTGAATGCAGTCATCGCAGAAAACTTTCTGAGAATGCGTCTGTCTAGGTTTGATGTGAAGATATAGACGTTTCAAACGAAGGCTACAAAGTGGTCAAAATATACACTTGCAGATTCTACTACAAGGGTGTTGCAAACCTGAACTATCAAAGGAAGGTTCAACTCTGTAAGTTGAATACAAACATCACCAAGAATGTTCTGAGTTTGCTTCCGTTCAGTTATGGGAAGTTGATCCCGTTTCCAACGAAATCCTCAGAGAGGTCCAAATATCCCCTTGCAGATTCTACAAAACGTGTGTTTGGAAACTGCTCCATCATAACGAATGTTCAGCTCCCTGAGTTAAACTCCATCGTCACAAAGAATTTTCTGAGAGTGCTACCGTCTGGTTTTTATATGAAGCTCTTTCCTTCACTACCACAGGCCTCAAAGCGGTCCAAATCTCCACTTGCAGATTCTACAAAAAGAGTGTTTGCAAACTGCTCTATCAAAAGGAATGTTCAACTCTGGGAGTTGAATGCAATCATCACAGAGCAGTTTCTGAGAATGCTTCTATGTCGTTTTTAGGAGAAGATATTTCCTTTTCCAACACAGTCCTCCAAGCCCGCTAAATAGCCACTTGCACATTGTAGAAAACGTGTGTCAAAGCTGCGCTATCAAAGGGAAAGTTCAACTCTGTGAGGTGAATGCAAACATCCCAAAGAAGTTTCTGAGAATGCTTCCGTTTAGCTTTTAGGTGAAGATTATCCCGTTTCCAACGAAACCTTCAAAGAGGTCCAAATATCCCCTTGCGGATCCCACAGAAAGAGTGTTTCGAAACTGCTGTTTCAAAAGGAATCTTCAACTCTGTGAGTTGAATGCAATCATCACAAAGAAGTTTCTGACAATGCTTCTCTCTCGTCTTTCTGTGAAGATAAAGGAAAAGGCTTTCAGGCCTTTTCCACCACAGGCCTGAAAGCGCTCCAAATGTCCACTTGCAGATTCTGCCAAAAGAATATTTCAAAACTGCTCTATGAAAAGCAATGTTAAACTCTGTGGCTGGAACACAAACATCACAAAGCGGTTTCTGAGAATGTTTCAGTTTAGTTTTTCTGTGGAAATATTCCCGTTTCCAAAGAAATCTTCAAAGAGGTCCACGTATCCACTTACAGATTCTACAAAAAGACAGTTTCAAAACTGCTCCATCAAAAGGAGGGTTCAACTGTGTGACTTGAATGCAATCATCACTCAGAAGTTTCTGAGAATGCTTCTCTTTAGTTTTTACGTGAACATATACCCGTTTCGAACGAAGGCCACCCAGTGGTCCAAATATCCACTTGCAGATTATACAGAAAGAGTGTTTCGAACCTGAACTCTCAAAGGCAGGTTCATCTCTGCAAGTTAAATGCATTCATCATGAAGAACTTTCTCAGAGTGTTTGTGCTTAGTTATGGGAAATTATTCCCGTTTCCAACGAAATCCTCAGAGTGGTCCAAATATCCACCTGCAGATTCTACCAAAAGTGTATTTGGAAACTGCTCCATCAAAAGGCATGTTCAGCTCTGTGAGTGAAACTCCATCATCACAAAGAATATTCTGAGAATGCTTCCGTTTGCCTTTTATCTGAAGTTCCTTCCTATACGACCGTAGGCCTCAAAGCAGTCCAAATCTCCATTTGCAGATTCTACAAAAAGAGTGATTCCAATCTGCTCTATCAATAGGATTGTTCAACTCCATGAGTTGAATGCCATCCTCACAAAGTCGTTTCTGAGAATGCTTCTATCTAGTTTTTATGTGAAGATATTTCCTTTTCCACCACAGGCCTCAAAGCCCTCCAAACGTCCACTTGTAGATTCTCGAAAAAGAGTGTTTCATAGCTGCTCTTTCAAAAGGAAAGTTCAACTCCTGGGAGTTGAATACAAACATCACAAAGTAGTTTCCGAGAATGCTTCTGTTTAGTTCTTATGTGAAGATGATCCCGTTTCCAGTGAAATCTTCAAAGAGGTCCACATATCCCCTTGCAGATTCCAAAGAAAGAGGGTTTCAAAACTGCTCCATCAAAAGGATTGTTCAACTCTGTGAGTTGAATGCAGTCATCGCAGAAAACTTTCTGAGAATGCTTCTGTCTAGGTTTGAGGTGAAGATATAGACGTTTCAAACGAAGGCTACAAAGTGGTCAAAATATACACTTGCAGATTCTACTACAAGGGTGTTGCAAACTTCAACTATCAAAGGAAGTTTCAACTCTGTGAGTTGAATACAAACATCACAAAGAATGTTCTGAGTTTGCTTCCGTTCAGTTATGGGAAGTTGATCCCGTTTCCAACGAAATCCTCAGAGAGGTCCAAATATCCCCTTGCAGATTCTACAAAACGTGTGTTTGGAAACTGCTCCATCATAACGAATGTTCAGCTCTCTGAGTTAAACTCCATCGTCACAAAGAATTTTCTGAGAGTGCTACCGTCTGGTTTTTATATGAAGTTCTTTCCTTTACTACCACAGGCCTCAAAGCGGTCCAAATCTCCACTTGCAGATTCTACAAAAACAGTGTTTGCAAACTGCTCTATCAAAAGGAATGTTCAACTCTGGGAGTTGAATGCAATCATCACAGAGCAGTTTCTGAGAATGCTTCTATGTCGTTTTTAGGAGAAGATATTTCCTTTTCCAACACAGTCCTCCAAGCCCGCTAAATATCCACTTGCACATTGTAGAAAAAGTGTGTCGAAGCTGCGCTATCAAAGGGAAAGTTCAACTCTGTGAGGTGAATGCAAACATCCCAAAGAAGTTTCTGAGAATGCTTCCGTTTAGCTTTTAGGTGAAGATTATCCCGTTTCCAACGAAAACTTCAAAGAGGTCCAAATATCCCCTTGCGGATCCCACAGAAAGAGTGTTTCGAAACTGCTGTTTCAAAAGGAATCTTCAACTCTGTGAGTTGAATGCAATCATCACAAAGAAGTTTCTGACAATGCTTCTCTCTCGTCTTTCTGTGAAGATAAAGGAAAAGGCTTTCAGGCCTTTTCCACCACAGGCCTGAAAGCGCTCCAAATGTCCACTTGCAGATTCTGCCAAAAGAATATTTCAAAACTGCTCTATGAAAAGCAATGTTAAACTCTGCGGCTCGAACACAAACATCACAAAGCAGTTTCTGAGAATGCTTCAGTTTAGTTTTTCTGTGGAAATATTCCCGTTTCCAAAGAAATCTTCAAAGAGGTCCACGTACCCGCTTACAGATTCTACAAAAAGACAGTTTCAAAACTGCTCAATCAAAAGGAGGGTTCAACCGTGTGACTTGAATGCAATCATCACTCAGAAGTTTCTGAGAATGCTTCTCTTTAGTTTTTACGTGAACATATACCCGTTTCGAACGAAGGCCACCCAGTGGTCCAAATATCCACTTGCAGATTCTACAGAAAGAGTGTTTCGAACCTGAACTCTCAAAGGCAGGTTCATCTCTGCGAGTTCAATGCATTCATCATGAAGAACTTTCTCAGAGTGTTTGTGTTTAGTTATGGGAAATTATTCCCGTTTCCAACGAAATCCTCAGAGAGGTCCAAATATCCACCGGCAGATTCTACCAAAAGTGTATTTGGAAACTGCTCCATCAAAAGGCATGTTCAGCTCTGTGAGTGAAACTCCATCATCACAAAGAATATTCTGAGAATGCTTCCGTTTGCCTTTTATATGAAGTTCCTTCCTATACTACCGTAGGCCTCAAAGCAGTCCAAATCTCCATTTGCAGATTCTACAAAAAGAGTGATTCCAATCTGCTCTATCAATAGGATTGTTCAACTCCATGAGTTGAATGCCATCCTCACAAAGTAGTTTCTGAGAATGCTTCTATCTAGTTTTTATGTGAAGATATTTCCTTTTCCACCACAGGCCTCAAAGCCCTCCAAACGTCCACTTGCAGATTCTCGAAAAAGAGTGTTTCATAGCTACTCTTTCAAAAGGAAAGTTCAACTCTGGGAGTTGAATACAAACCTCACAAAGTAGTTTCGGAGAATGCTTCTGTTTAGTTTTTATGTGAAGATGATCCCATTTCCAGTGAAATCTTCAAAGAAGTCCACATATCCCCTTGCAGATTCCAAAGAAAGAGGGTTTCAAGACTGCTCCATCAAAAGGATTGCTCAAATCTGTGAGTTGAATGCAGTCATCGCAGAAAACGTTCTGAGAATGATTCTGTCTAGGTTTGATGTGAAGATATAGACGTTTCAAACGAAGGCTACAAAGTGGTCAAAATATTCACTTGCAGATTCTACTACAAGGGTGTTGCCAACCTGAACTATCAAAGGAAGGTTCAACTCTGTGAGTTGAATAGAAACATCACAAAGAATGTTCTGAGTTTGCTTCCGTTCAGTTATGGGAAGTTGATCCCTTTTCCAACGAAATCCTCAGAGAGGTCCAAATATCCCCTTGCAGATTCTACAAAACGTGTGTTTGGAAACTGCTCCATCATAACGAATGTTCAGCTCTCTGAATTAAACTCCATCGTCACAAAGGATTTTCTGAGAGTGCTACCGTCTGGTTTTTATATGAAGTTCTTTCCTTCACTACCACAGGCCTCAAAGCGGTCCAAATCTCCACTTGCAGATTGTACAAAAAGAGTGTTTGCAAACTGCTCTATCAAAAGGAATGTTCAACTCTGGGAGTTGAATGCAATCATCACAGAGCAGTTTCTGAGAATGCTTCTATGTCGTTTTTAGGAGAAGATATTTCCTTTTCCAACACAATCCTCCAAGCCCGCTAAATAGCCACTTGCACATTGTAGAAAAAGTGTGTCAAAGCTGCGCTATCAAAGGGAAAGTTCAACTCTGTGAGGTGAATGCAAACATCCCAAAGAAGTTTCTGAGAATGCTTCCGTTTAGCTTTTAGGTGAAGATTATCCCGTTTCCAACGAAACCTTCAAAGAGGTCCAAATATCCCCTTGCGGATCCCACAGAAAGAGTGTTTCGAAACTGCTGTTTCAAAAGGAATCTTCAACTCTGTGAGTTGAATGCAATCATCACAAAGAAGTTTCTGACAATGCTTCTCTCTCGTCTTTCTGTGAAGATAAAGGAAAAGGCTTTCAGGCCTTTGCCACCACAGGCCTGAAAGCGCTCCAAATGTCCACTTGCAGATTCTGCCAAAAGAATATTTCAAAACTGCTCTATGAAAAGCAATGTTAAACTCTGTGGCTGGAACACAAACATCACAAAGCGGTTTCTGAGAATGTTTCAGTTTAGTTTTTCTGTGGAAATATTCCCGTTTCCAAAGAAATCTTCAAAGAGGTCCACGTATCCACTTACAGATTCTACAAAAAGACAGTTTCAAAACTGCTCCATCAAAAGGAGGGTTCAACTGTGTGACTTGAATGCAATCATCACTCAGAAGTTTCTGAGAATGCTTCTCTTTAGTTTTTACGTGAACATATACCCGTTTCGAACGAAGGCCACCCAGTGGTCCAAATATCCACTTGCAGATTCTACAGAAAGAGTGTTTCGAACCTGAACTCTCAAAGGCAGGTTCATCTCTGCGAGTTAAATGCATTCATCATGAAGAACTTTCTCAGAGTGTTTGTGTTTAGTTATGGGAAATTATTCCCGTTTCCAACGAAATCCTCAGAGAGCTCCAAATATCCACCTGCAGATTCTACCAAAAGTGTATTTGGAAACTGCTCCATCAAAAGGCATGTTCACCTCTGTGAGTGAAACTCCATCATCACAAAGAATATTCTGAGAATGCTTCCGTTTGCCTTTTATATGAAGTTCCTTCCTGTACTACCGTAGGCCTCAAAGCAGTCCAAATCTCCATTTGCAGATTCTATGAAAAGAGTGATTCCAATCTGCTCTATCAATAGGATTGTTCAATTCCATGAGTTGAATGCCATCCTCACAAAGTAGTTTCTGAGAATGCTTCTATCTGGTTTTTGTGTGAAGATATTTCCTTTTCCACCACAGGCCTCAAAGCCCTCCAAACGTCCACTTGCAGATTCTCGAAAAAGAGTGTTTCATAGCTGCTCTTTCAAAAGGAAAGTTCAACTCTGGGAGTTGAATACAAACATCACAAAGTAGTTTCCGAGAATGCTTCTGTTTAGTTTTTATGTGAAGATGATCCCGTTTCCAGTGAAATCTTCAAAGAGGTCCACATATCCCCTTGCAGATTCCAAAGAAAGAGGGTTTCAAAACTGCTCCATCAGAAGGATTGTTCAACTCTGTGAGTTGAATGCAGTCATCGCAGAAAACTTTCTGAGAATGCTTCTGTCTAGGTTTGATGTGAAGATATAGACGTTTCAAACGAAGGCTACAAAGTGGTCAAAATATACACTTGCAGATTCTACTACAAGGGTGTTGCAAACCTGAACTATCAAAGGAAGGTTCAACTCTGTGAGTTGAATACAAACATCACAAAGAATGTTCTGAGTTTGCTTCCGTTCAGTTATGGGAAGTTGATCCCGTTTCCAACGAAATCCTCAGAGAGGTCCAAATATCCCCTCGCAGATTCTACAAAACGTGTGTTTGGAAACTGCTCCATCATAACGAATGTTCAGCTCCCTGAGTTAAACTCCATCGTCACAAAGAATTTTCTGAGAGTGCTACCGTCTGGTTTTTATATGAAGCTCTTTCCTTCACTACCACAGGCCTCAAAGCGGTCCAAATCTCCACTTGCAGATTCTACAAAAAGAGTGTTTGCAAACTGCTCTATCAAAAGGAATGTTCAACTCTGGGAGTTGAATGCAATCATCACAGAGCAGTTTCTGAGAATGCTTCTATGTCGTTTTTAGGAGAAGATATTTCCTTTTCCAACACAGTCCTCCAAGCCCGCTAAATAGCCACTTGCACATTGTAGAAAAAGTGTGTCAAAGCTGCGCTATCAAAGGGAAAGTTCAACTGTGTGAGGTGAATGCAAACATCCCAAAGAAGTTTCTGAGAATGCTTCCGTTTAGCTTTTAGGTGAAGATTATCCCGTTTCCAACGAAACCTTCAAAGAGGTCCAAATATCCCCTTGCGGATCCCACAGAAAGAGTGTTTCGAAACTGCTGTTTCAAAAGGAATCTTCAACTCTGTGAGTTGAATGCAATCATCCCAAAGAAGTTTCTGACAATGCTTCTCTCTCGTCTTTCTGTGAAGATAAAGGAAAAGGCTTTCAGGCCTTTTCCACCACAGGCCTGAAAGCGCTCCAAAAGTCCACTTGCAGATTCTGCCAAAAGAATATTTCAAAACTGCTCTATGAAAAGCAATGTTAAACTCTGTGGCTCGAACACAAACATCACAAAGCAGTTTCTGAGAATGCTTCAGTTTAGTTTTTCTGTGGAAATATTCCCGTTTCCAAAGAAATCTTCAAAGAGGTCCACGTATCCACTTACAGATTCTACAAAAAGACAGTTTCAAAACTGCTCCATCAAAAGGAGGGTTCAACTGTGTGACTTGAATGCAATCATCACTCAGAAGTTTCTGAGAATGCTTCTCTTTAGTTTTTACGTGAACATATACCGTTTCGAACGAAGGCCACCCAGTGGTCCAAATATCCACTTGCAGATTCTACAGAAAGAGTGTTTCGAACCTGAACTCTCAAAGGCAGGTTCATCTCTGCGAGTTAAATGCATTCATCATGAAGAACTTTCTCAGAGTGTTTGTGTTTAGTTATGGGAAATTATTCCCGTTTCCAACGAAATCCTCAGAGAGGTCCAAATATCCACCTGCAGATTCTACCAAAAGTGTATTTGGAAACTGCTCCATCAAAAGGCATGTTCAGCTCTGTGAGTGAAACTCCATCATCACAAAGAATATTCTGAGAATGCTTCCGTTTGCCTTTTATATGAAGTTCCTTCCTATACGACCGTAGGCCTCAAAGCAGTCCAAATCTCCATTTGCAGATTCTACAAAAAGAGTGATTCCAATCTGCTCTATCAATAGGATTGTTCAACTCCATGAGTTGAATGCCATCCTCACAAAGTAGTTTCTGAGAATGCTTCTATCTAGTTTTTATGTGAAGATATTTCCTTTTCCACCACAGGCCTCAAAGCCCTCCAAACGTCCACTTGCAGATTCTCGAAAAAGAGTGTTTCATAGCTGCTCTTTCAAAAGGAAAGTTCACCTCTGGTAGTTGAATACAAACATCACAAAGTAGTTTCCGAGAATGCTTCTGTTTAGTTCTTATGTGAAGATGATCCCGTTTCCAGTGAAATCTTCAAAGAGGTCCACATATCCCCTTGCAGATTCCAAAGAAAGAGGGTTTCAAAACTGCTCCATCAAAAGGATTGTTCAACTCTGTGAGTGGAATGCAGTCATCGCAGAAAACTTTCTGAGAATGCTTCTGTCTAGGTTTGATGTGAAGATATAGACGTTTCAAACGAAGGCTACAAAGTGTTCAAAATATACACTTGCAGATTCTACTACAAGGGTGATGCAAACCTGAACTATCAAAGGAAGGTTCAACTCTGTGAGTTGAATACAAACATCACAAAGAATGTTCTGAGTTTGCTTCCGTTCAGTTATGGGAAGTTGATCCCGTTTCCAACGAAATCCTCAGAGAGGTCCAAATATCCCCTTGCAGATTCTACAAAACGTGTGTTTGGAAACTGCTCCATCATAACGAATGTTCAGCTCTCTGAGTTAAACTCCATCGTCACAAAGAATTTTCTGAGGGTGCTACCGTCTAGTTTTTATATGAAGTTCTTTCCTTTACTACCACAGGCCTCAAAGCAGTCCAAATCTCCACTTGCAGATTCTACAAAAAAGTGTTTGCAAACTGCTCTATCAAAAGGAATGTTCAACTCTGGGAGTTGAATGCAATCATCACAGAGCAGTTTCTGAGAATGCTTCTATGTCGTTTTTAGGAGAAGATATTTCCTATTCCAACACAGTCCTCCAAGCCCGCTAAATATCCACTTGCACATTGTAGAAAAAGTGTGTCGAAGCTGCGCTATCAAAGGGAAAGTTCAACTCTGTGAGGTGAATGCAAACATCCCAAAGAAGTTTCTGAGAATGCTTCCGTTTAGCTTTTAGGTGAAGATTATCCCGTTTCCAACGAAATCTTCAAAGAGGTCCAAATATCCCCTTGCGGATCCCACAGAAAGAGTGTTTCGAAACTGCTGTTTCAAAAGGAATCTTCAACTCTGTGAGTTGAATGCAATCATCACAAAGAAGTTTCTGACAATGCTTCTCTCTCGTCTTTCTGTGAAGATAAAGGAAAAGGCTTTCAGGCCTTTTCCACCACAGGCCTGAAAGCGCTCCAAATGTCCACTTGCAGATTCTGCCAAAAGAATATTTCAAAACTGCTCTATGAAAAGCAATGTTAAAATCTGTGGCTCGAACACAAACATCACAAAGCAGTTTCTGAGAGTGCTTCAGTTTAGTTTTTCTGTGGAAATATTCCCGTTTCCAAAGAAATCTTCAAAGAGGTCCACGTATCCACTTACAGATTCTACAAAAAGACAGTTTCAAAACTGCTCAATCAAAAGGAGGGTTCAACCGTGTGACTTGAATGCAATCATCACTCAGAAGTTTCTGAGAATGCTTCTCTTTAGTTTTTACGTGAACATATACCCGTTTCGAACGAAGGCCAGCCAGTGGTCCAAATATCCACTTGCAGATTCTACAGAAAGAGTGTTTCGAACCTGAACTCTCAAAGGCAGGTTCATCTCTGCGAGTTCAATGCATTCTAAATGAAGAACTTTCTCAGAGTGTTTTGTGTTTAGTTATGGGAAATTATTCCCGTTTCCAACGAAATCCTCAGAGAGCTCCAAATATCCACCTGCAGATTCTACCAAAAGTGTATTTGGAAACTGCTCCATCAAAAGGCATGTTCAGCTCTGTGAGTGAAACTCCATCATCACAAAGAATATTCTGAGAATGCTTCCGTTTGCCTTTTATATGAAGTTCCTTCCTATACGACCGTAGGCCTCAAAGCAGTCCAAATCTCCATTTGCAGATTCTACAAAAAGAGTGATTCCAATCTGCTCTATCAATAGGATTGTTCAACTCCATGAGTTGAATGCCATCCTCACAAAGTAGTTTCTGAGAATGCTTCTATCTAGTTTTTATGTGAAGATATTTCCTTTTCCACCACAGGCCTCAAAGCCCTCCAAACGTCCACTTGCAGATTCTCGAAAAAGAGTGTTTCATAGCTGCTCTTTCAAAAGGAAAGTTCAACTCTGGTAGTTGAATACAAACATCACAAAGTAGTTTCCGAGAATGCTTCTGTTTAGTTTTTATGTGAAGATGATCCCGTTTCCAGTGAAATCTTCAAAGAGGTCCACATATCCCCTTGCAGATTGCAAAGAAAGAGGGTTTCAAAACTGCTCCATCAGAAGGATTGTTCAACTCTGTGAGTTGAATGCAGTCATCGCAGAAAACTTTCTGAGAATGCTTCTGTCTAGGTTTGATGTGAAGATATAGACGTTTCAAACGAAGGCTACAAAGTGGTCAAAATATACACTTGCAGATTCTACTACAAGGGTGTTGCAAACCTGAACTATCAAAGGAAGGTTCAACTCTGTGAGTTGAATACAAACATCACAAAGAATGTTCTGAGTTTGCTTCCGTTCAGTTATGGGAAGTTGATCCCGTTTCCAACGAAATCCTCAGAGAGGTCCAAATATCCCCTTGCAGATTCTACAAAACGTGTGTTTGGAAACTGCTCCATCATAACGAATGTTCAGCTCCCTGAGTTAAACTCCATCGTCACAAAGAATTTTCTGAGAGTGCTACCGTCTGGTTTTTATATGAAGTTCTTTCCTTCACTACCACAGGCCTCAAAGCGGTCCAAATCTCCACTTGCAGATTCTACAAAAAGAGTGTTTGCAAACTGCTCTATCAAAAGGAATGTTCAACTCTGGGAGTTGAATGCAATCATCACAGAGCAGTTTCTGAGAATGCTTCTATGTCGTTTTTAGGAGAAGATATTTCCTTTTCCAACACAGTCCTCCAAGCCCGCTAAATAGCCACTTGCACATTGTAGAAAAAGTGTGTCAAAGCTGCGCTATCAAAGGGAAAGTTCAACTCTGTGAGGTGAATGCAAACATCCCAAAGAAGTTTCTGAGAATGCTTCCGTTTAGCTTTTAGGTGAAGATTATCCCGTTTCCAACGAAACCTTCAAAGAGGTCCAAATATCCCCTTGCGGATCCCACAGAAAGAGTGTTTCGAAACTGCTGTTTCAAAAGGAATCTTCAACTCTGTGAGTTGAATGCAATCATCACAAAGAAGTTTCTGACAATGCTTCTCTCTCGTCTTTCTGTGAAGATAAAGGAAAAGGCTTTCAGGCCTTTTCCACCACAGGCCTGAAAGCGCTCCAAATGTCCACTTGCAGATTCTGCGAAAAGAATATTTCAAAACTGCTCTATGAAAAGCAATGTTAAACTCTGCGGCTCGAACACAAACATCACAAAGCGGTTTCTGAGAATGCTTCAGTTTAGTTTTTCTGTGGAAATATTCCCGTTTCCAAAGAAATCTTCAAAGAGGTCCACGCATCCACTTACAGATTCTACAAAAAGACAGTTTCAAAACTGCTCCATCAAAAGGAGGGTTCAACCGTGTGACTTGAATGCAATCATCACTCAGAAGTTTCTGAGAATGCTTCTCTTTAGTTTTTACGTGAACATATACCCGTTTCGAACGAAGGCCACCCAGTGGTCCAAATATCCACTTGCAGATTATACAGAAAGAGTGTTTCGAACCTGAACTCTCAAAGGCAGGTTCATCTCTGCGAGTTAAATGCATTCATCATGAAGAACTTTCTCAGAGTGTTTGTGTTTAGTTATGGGAAATTATTCCCGTTTCCAACGAAATCCTCAGAGAGCTCCAAATATCCACCTGCAGATTCTACCAAAAGTGTATTTGGAAACTGCTCCATCAAAAGGCATGTTCAGCTCTGTGAGTGAAACTCCATCATCACAAAGAATATTCTGAGAATGCTTCCGTTTGCCTTTTATATGAAGTTCCTTCCTATACGACCGTAGGCCTCAAAGCAGTCCAAATCTCCATTTGCAGATTCTACAAAAACAGTGATTCCAATCTGCTCTATCAATAGGATTGTTCAACTCCATGAGTTGAATGCCATCCTCACAAAGTCGTTTCTGAGAATGCTTCTATCTAGTTTTTATGTGAAGATATTTCCTTTTCCACCACAGGCCTCAAAGCCCTCCAAACGTCCACTTGCAGATTCTCGAAAAAGAGTGTTTCATAGCTGCTCTTTCAAAAGGAAAGTTCAACTCTGGGAGTTGAATACAAACATCACAAAGTAGTTTCCGAGAATGCTTCTGTTTAGTTTTTATGTGAAGATGATCCCGTTTCCAGTGAAATCTTCAAAGAGGTCCACATATCCCCTTGCAGATTCCAAAGAAAGAGGGTTTCAAAACTGCTCCATCAGAAGGATTGTTCAACTCTGTGAGTTGAATGCAGTCATCGCATAAAACTTTCTGAGAATGCTTCTGTCTAGGTTTGATGTGAAGATATAGACGTTTCAAACGAAGGCTACAAAGTGGTCAAAATATACACTTGCAGATTCTACTACAAGGGTGTTGCAAACCTGAACTATCAAAGGAAGGTTCAACTCTGTGAGTTGAATACAAACATCACAAAGAATGTTCTGAGTTTGCTTCCGTTCAGTTATGGGAAGTTGATCCCGTTTCCAACGAAATCCTCAGAGAGGTCCAAATATCCCCTCGCAGATTCTACAAAACGTGTGTTTGGAAACTGCTCCATCATAACGAATGTTCAGCTCCCTGAGTTAAACTCCATCGTCACAAAGAATTTTCTGAGAGTGCTACCGTCTGGTTTTTATATGAAGTTCTTTCCTTCACTACCACAGGCCTCAAAGCGGTCCAAATCTCCACTTGCAGATTCTACAAAAAGAGTGTTTGCAAACTGCTCTATCAAAAGGAATGTTCAACTCTGGGAGTTGAATGCAATCATCACAGAGCAGTTTCTGAGAATGCTTCTATGTCGTTTTTAGGAGAAGATATTTCCTTTTCCAACACAGTCCTCCAAGCCCGCTAAATAGCCACTTGCACATTGTAGAAAAAGTGTGTCAAAGCTGCGCTATCAAAGGGAAAGTTCAACTCTGTGAGGTGAATGCAAACATCCCAAAGAAGTTTCTGAGAATGCTTCCGTTTAGCTTTTAGGTGAAGATTATCCCGTTTCCAACGAAACCTTCAAAGAGGTCCAAATATCCCCTTGCGGATCCCACAGAAAGAGTGTTTCGAAACTGCTGTTTCAAAAGGAATCTTCAACTCTGTGAGTTGAATGCAATCATCACAAAGAAGTTTCTGACAATGCTTCTCTCTCGTCTTTCTGTGAAGATAAAGGAAAAGGCTTTCAGGCCTTTTCAACCACAGGCCTGAAAGCGCTCCAAATGTCCACTTGCAGATTCTGCCAAAAGAATATTTCAAAACTGCTCTATGAAAAGCAATGTTAAACTCTGTGGCTCGAACACAAACATCACATAGCAGTTTCTGAGAATGCTTCAGTTTAGTTTTTCTGTGGAAATATTCCCGTTTCCAAAGAAATATTCAAAGAGGTCCACGTATCCACTTACAGATTTTACAAAAAGACAGTTTCAAAACTGCTCAATCAAAAGGAGGGTTCAACTGTGTGACTTGAATGTAATCATCACTCAGAAGTTTCTGAGAATGCTTCTCTTTAGTTTTTACGTGAACATATACCCGTTTCGAACGAAGGCCAGCCAGTGGTCCAAATATCCACTTGCAGATTCTACAGAAAGAGTGTTTCGAACCTGAACTCTCAAAGGCAGGTTCATCTCTGCGAGTTAAATGCATTCATCATGAAGAACTTTCTCAGAGTGTTTGTGTTTAGTTATGGGAAATTATTCCCTTTTCCAACGAAATCCTCAGAGAGCTCCAAATATCCACCTGCAGATTCTACCAAAAGTGTATTTGGAAACTGCTCCATCAAAAGGCATGTTCAGCTCTGTGAGTGAAACTCCATCATCACAAAGAATATTCTGAGAATGCTTCCGTTTGCCTTTTATATGAAGTTCCTTCCTATACTACCGTAGGCCTCAAAGCAGTCCAAATCTCCATTTGCAGATTCTACAAAAAGAGTGATTCCAATCTGCTCTATCAATAGGATTGTTCAACTCCATGAGTTGAATGCCATCCTCACAAAGTAGTTTCTGAGAATGCTTCTATCTAGTTTTTATGTGAAGATATTTCCTTTTCCACCACAGGCCTCAAAGCCCTCCAAACGTCCACTTGCAGATTCTCGAAAAAGAGTGTTTCATAGCTGCTCTTTCAAAAGGAAATTTCAACTCTGGGAGTTGAATACAAACATCACAAAGAATGTTCTGAGTTTGCTTCCGTTCAGTTATGGGAAGTTGATCCCGTTTCCAACGAAATCCTCAGAGAGGTCCAAATATCCCCTTGCAGATTCTACAAAACGTGTGTTTGGAAACTGCTCCATCATAACGAATGTTCAGCTCCCTGAGTTAAACTCCATCGTCACAAAGAATTTTCTGAGAGTGCTACCGTCTGTTTTTTATATGAAGCTCTTTCCTTTACTACCCCAGTCCTCAAAGCGGTCCAAATCTCCACTTGCAGATTCTACAAAAAGAGTGTTTGCAAACTGCTCTATCAAAAGGAATGTTCAACTCTGGGAGTTGAATGCAATCATCACAGAGCAGTTTCTGAGAATGCTTCTATGTCGTTTTTAGGAGAAGATATTTCCTTTTCCAACACAGTCCTCCAAGCCCGCTAAATAGCCACTTGCACATTGTAGAAAAAGTGTGTCAAAGCTGCGCTATCAAAGGGAAAGTTCAACTCTGAGAGGTGAATGCAAACATCCCAAAGAAGTTTCTGAGAGTGCTTCCGTTTAGCTTTTAGGTGAAGATTATCCCGTTTCCAACGAAACCTTCAAAGAGGTCCAAATATCCCCTTGCGGATCCCACAGAAAGAGTGTTTCGAAACTGCTGTTTCAAAAGGAATCTTCAACTCTGTGAGTTGAATGCAATCATCACAAAGAAGTTTCTGACAATGCTTCTCTCTCGTCTTTCTGTGAAGATAAAGGAAAAGGCTTTCAGGCCTTTTCCACCACAGGCCTGAAAGCGCTCCAAAAGAATATTTCAAAACTGCTCTATGAAAAGCAATGTTAAACTCTGTGGCTCGAACACAAACATCACAAAGCGGTTTCTGAGAATGCTTCAGTTTAGTTTTTCTGTGGAAATATTCCCGTTTCCAAAGAAATCTTCAAAGAGGTCCACGTATCCACTTACAGATTCTACAAAAAGACAGTTTCAAAACTGCTCCATCAAAAGGAGGGTTCAACTGTGTGACTTGAATGCAATCATCACTCAGAAGTTTCTGAGAATGCTTCTCTTTAGTTTTTACGTGAACATATACCCGTTTCGAACGAAGGCCACCCAGTGGTCCAAATATCCGCTTGCAGATTCTACAGAAAGAGTGTTTCGAACCTGAACTCTCAAAGGAAGGTTCATCTCTGCGAGTTAAATGCATTCATCATGAAGAACTTTCTCAGAGTGTTTGTGTTTAGTTATGGGAAATTATTCCCGTTTCCAACGAAATCCTCAGAGAGCTCCAAATATCCACCTGCAGATTCTACCAAAAGTGTATTTGGAAACTGCTCCATCAAAAGGCATGTTCAGCTCTGTGAGTGAAACTCCATCATCACAAAGAATATTCTGAGAATGCTTCCGTTTGCCTTTTATATGAAGTTCCTTCCTATACGACCGTAGGCCTCAAAGCAGTCCAAATCTCCATTTGCAGATTCTACAAAAAGAGTGATTCCAATCTGCTCTATCAATAGGATTGTTCAACTCCATGAGTTGAATGCCATCCTCACAAAGTCGTTTCTGAGAATGCTTCTATCTAGTTTTTATGTGAAGATATTTCCTTTTCCACCACAGGCCTCAAAGCCCTCCAAACGTCCACTTGCAGATTCTCGAAAAAGAGTGTTTCATAGCTGCTCTTTCAAAAGGAAAGTTCAACTCTGGGAGTTGAATACAAACATCACAAAGTAGTTTCCGAGAATGCTTCTGTTTAGTTTTTATGTGAAGATGATCCCGTTTCCAGTGAAATCTTCAAAGAGGTCCACATATCCCCTTGCAGATTCCAAAGAAAGAGGGTTTCAAAACTGCTCCATCAGAAGGATTGTTCAACTCTGTGAGTTGAATGCAGTCATCGCAGAAAACTTTCTGAGAATGCTTCTTTCTAGGTTTGATGTGAAGATATAGACGTTTCAAACGAAGGCTACAAAGTGGTCAAAATATACACTTGCAGATTCTACTACAAGGGTGTTGCAAACCTGAACTATCAAAGGAAGGTTCAACTCTGTGAGTTGAATACAAACATCACAAAGAATGTTCTGAGTTTGCTTCCGTTCAGTTATGGGAAGTTGATCCCGTTTCCAACGAAATCCTCAGAGAGGTCCAAATATCCCCTCGCAGATTCTACAAAACATGTGTTTGGAAACTGCTCCATCATAACGAATGTTCAGCTCCCTGAGTTAAACTCCATCGTCACAAAGAATTTTCTGAGAGTGCTACCGTCTGGTTTTTATATGAAGTTCTTTCCTTCACTACCACAGGCCTCAAAGCGGTCCAAATCTCCACTTGCAGATTCTACAAAAAGAGTGTTTGCAAACTGCTCTATCAAAAGGAATGTTCAACTCTGGGAGTTGAATGCAATCATCACAGAGCAGTTTCTGAGAATGCTTCTATGTCGTTTTTAGGAGAAGATATTTCCTTTTCCAACACAGTCCTCCAAGCCCGCTAAATAGCCACTTGCACATTGTAGAAAAAGTGTGTCAAAGCTGCGCTATCAAAGGGAAAGTTCAACTCTGTGAGGTGAATGCAAACATCCCAAAGAAGTTTCTGAGAATGCTTCCGTTTAGCTTTTAGGTGAAGATTATCCCGTTTCCAACGAAACCTTCAAAGAGGTCCAAATATCCCCTTGCGGATCCCACAGAAAGAGTGTTTCGAAACTGCTGTTTCAAAAGGAATCTTCAACTCTGTGAGTTGAATGCAATCATCACAAAGAAGTTTCTGACAATGCTTCTCTCTCGTCTTTCTGTGAAGATAAAGGAAAAGGCTTTCAGGCCTTTTCCACCACAGGCCTGAAAGCGCTCCAAATGTCCACTTGCAGATTCTGCGAAAAGAATATTTCAAAACTGCTCTATGAAAAGCAATGTTAAACTCTGTGGCTCGAACACAAACATCACAAAGCGGTTTCTGAGAATGCTTCAGTTTAGTTTTTCTGTGGAAATATTCCCGTTTCCAAAGAAATCTTCAAAGAGGTCCACGTATCCACTTACAGATTCTACAAAAAGACAGTTTCAAAACTGCTCCATCAAAAGGAGGGTTCAACTGTGTGACTTGAATGCAATCATCACTCACAAGTTTCTGAGAATGCTTCTCTTTAGTTTTTACGTGAACATATACCCGTTTCGAACGAAGGCCAGCCAGTGGTCCAAATATCCACTTGCAGATTCTACAGAAAGAGTGTTTCGAACCTGAACTCTCAAAGGCAGGTTCATCTCTGCGAGTTAAATGCATTCATCATGAAGAACTTTCTCAGAGTGTTTGTGTTTAGTTATGGGAAATTATTCCAGGTTCCAACGAAATCCTCAGAGAGCTCCAAATATCCACCTGCAGATTCTACCAAAAGTGTATTTGGAAACTGCTCCATCAAAAGGCATGTTCAGCTCTGTGAGTGAAACTCCATCATCACAAAGAATATTCTGAGAATGCTTCCGTTTGCCTTTTATATGAAGTTCCTTCCTATACGACCGTAGGCCTCAAAGCAGTCCAAATCTCCATTTTCAGATTCTACAAAAAGAGTGATTCCAATCTGCTCTATCAATAGGATTGTTCAACTCCATGAGTTGAATGCCATCCTCACAAAGTCGTTTCTGAGAATGCTTCTATCTAGTTTTTATGTGAAGATATTTCCTTTTCCACCACAGGCCTCAAAGCCCTCCAAACGTCCACTTGCAGATTCTCGAAAAAGAGTGTTTCATAGCTGCTCTTTCAAAAGGAAAGTTCAACTCTGGGAGTTGAATACAAACATCACAAAGTAGTTTCCGAGAATGCTTCTGTTTAGTTTTTATGTGAAGATGATCCCGTTTCCAGTGAAATCTTCAAAGAGGTCCACATATCCCCTTGCAGATTCCAAAGAAAGAGGGTTTCAAAACTGCTCCATCAGAAGGATTGTTCAACTCTGTGAGTTGAATGCAGTCATCGCAGAAAACTTTCTGAGAATGCTTCTGTCTAGGTTTGATGTGAAGATATAGACGTTTCAAACGAAGGCTACAAAGTGGTCAAAATATACACTTGCAGATTCTACTACAAGGGTGTTGCAAACCTGAACTATCAAAGGAAGGTTCAACTCTGTGAGTTGAATACAAACATCACAAAGAATGTTCTGAGTTTGCTTCCGTTCAGTTATGGGAAGTTGATCCCGTTTCCAACGAAATCCTCAGGAGAGGTCCAAATATCCCCTTGCAGATTCTACAAAACGTGTGTTTGGAAACTGCTCCATCATAACGAATGTTCAGCTCCCTGAGTTAAACTCCATCGTCACAAAGAATTTTCTGAGAGTGCTACCGTCTGGTTTTTATATGAAGTTCTTTCCTTCACTACCACAGGCCTCAAAGCGGTCCAAATCTCCACTTGCAGATTCTACAAAAAGAGTGTTTGCAAACTGCTCTATCAAAAGGAATGTTCAACTCTGGGAGTTGAATGCAATCATCACAGAGCAGTTTCTGAGAATGCTTCTATGTCGTTTTTAGGAGAAGATATTTCCTTTTCCAACACAGTCCTCCAAGCCCGCTAAATAGCCACTTGCACATTGTAGAAAAAGTGTGTCAAAGCTGCGCTATCAAAGGGAAAGTTCAACTCTGTGAGGTGAATGCAAACATCCCAAAGAAGTTTCTGAGAATGCTTCCGTTTAGCTTTTAGGTGAAGATTATCCCGTTTCCAACGAAACCTTCAAAGAGGTCCAAATATCCCCTTGTGGATCCCACAGAAAGAGTGTTTCGAAACTGCTGTTTCAAAAGGAATCTTCAACTCTGTGAGTTGAATGCAATCATCACAAAGAAGTTTCTGACAATGCTTCTCTCTCGTCTTTCTGTGAAGATAAAGGAAAAGGCTTTCAGGCCTTTTCCACCACAGGCCTGAAAGCGCTCCAAATGTCCACTTGCAGATTCTGCCAAAAGAATATTTCAAAACTGCTCTATGAAAAGCAATGTTAAACTCTGTGGCTCGAACACAAACATCACAAAGCAGTTTCTGAGAATGCTTCAGTTTAGTTTTTCTGTGGAAATATTCCCGTTTCCAAAGAAATCTTCAAAGAGGTCCACGTATCCACTTACAGATTCTACAAAAAGACAGTTTCAAAACTGCTCCATCAAAAGGAGGGTTCAACCGTGTGACTTGAATGCAATCATCACTCAGAAGTTTCTGAGAATGCTTCTCTTTAGTTTTTACGTGAACATATACCCGTTTCGAACGAAGGCCACCCAGTGGTCCAAATATCCACTTGCAGATTCTACAGAAAGAGTGTTTCGAACCTGAACTCTCAAAGGCAGGTTCATCTCTGCGAGTTCAATGCATTCATCATGAAGAACTTTCTCAGAGTGTTTGTGTTTAGGTATGGGAAATTATTCCCGTTTCCAACGAAATCTTCAGAGAGGTCCAAATATCCACCTGCAGATTCTACCAAAAGTGTATTTGGAAACTGCTCCATCAAAAGGCATGTTCAGCTCTGTGAGTGAAACTCCATCATCACAAAGAATATTCTGAGAATGCTTCCGTTTGCCTTTTATATGAAGTTCCTTCCTATACTACCGTAGGCCTCAAAGCAGTCCAAATCTCCATTTGCAGATTCTACAAAAAGAGTGATTCCAATCTGCTCTATCAATAGGATTGTTCAACTCCATGAGTTGAATGCCATCCTCACAAAGTCGTTTCTGAGAATGCTTCTATCTAGTTTTTATGTGAAGATATTTCCTTTTCCACCACAGGCCTCAAAGCCTTCCAAACGTCCACTTGCAGATTCTCGAAAAAGAGTGTTTCATAGCTGCTCTTTCAAAAGGAAAGTTCAACTCTGGGAGTTGAATACAAACATCACAAAGTAGTTTCCGAGAATGCTTCTGTTTAGTTTTTATGTGAAGATGATCCCGTTTCCAGTGAAATCTTCAAAGAGGTCCACATATCCCCTTGCAGATTCCAAAGAAAGAGGGTTTCAAAACTGCTCCATCAGAAGGATTGTTCAACTCTGTGAGTTGAATGCAGTCATCGCAGAAAACTTTCTGAGAATGCTTCTTTCTAGGTTTGATGTGAAGATATAGACGTTTCAAACGAAGGCTACAAAGTGGTCAAAATATACACTTGCAGATTCTACTACAAGGGTGTTGCAAACCTGAACTATCAAAGGAAGGTTCAACTCTGTGAGTTGAATACAAACATCACAAAGAATGTTCTGAGTTTGCTTCCGTTCAGTTATGGGAAGTTGATCCCGTTTCCAACGAAATCCTCAGAGAGGTCCAAATATCCCCTTGCAGATTCTACAAAACGTGTGTTTGGAAACTGCTCCATCATAACGAATGTTCAGCTCCCTGAGTTAAACTCCATCGTCACAAAGAATTTTCTGAGAGTGCTACCGTCTGGTTTTTATATGAAGTTCTTTCCTTCACTACCACAGGCCTCAAAGCGGTCCAAATCTCCACTTGCAGATTCTACAAAAAGAGTGTTTGCAAACTGCTCTATCAAAAGGAATGTTCAACTCTGGGAGTTGAATGCAATCATCACAGAGCAGTTTCTGAGAATGCTTCTATGTCGTTTTTAGGAGAAGATATTTCCTTTTCCAACACAGTCCTCCAAGCCCGCTAAATAGCCACTTGCACATTGTAGAAACAGTGTGTCAAAGCTGCGCTATCAAAGGGAAAGTTCAACTCTGTGAGGTGAATGCAAACATCCCAAAGAAGTTTCTGAGAATGCTTCCGTTTAGCTTTTAGGTGAAGATTATCCCGTTTCCAACGAAACCTTCAAAGAGGTCCAAATATCCCCTTGCGGATCCCACAGAAAGAGTGTTTCGAAACTGCTGTTTCAAAAGGAATCTTCAACTCTGTGAGTTGAATGCAATCATCACAAAGAAGTTTCTGACAATGCTTCTCTCTCGTCTTTCTGTGAAGATAAAGGAAAAGGCTTTCAGGCCTTTTCCACCACAGGCCTGAAAGCGCTCCAAATGTCCACTTGCAGATTCTGCCAAAAGAATATTTCAAAACTGCTCTATGAAAAGCAATGTTAAACTCTGTGGCTCGAACACAAACATCACAAAGCGGTTTCTGAGAATGCTTCAGTTTAGTTTTTCTGTGGAAATATTCCCGTTTCCAAAGAAATCTTCAAAGAGGTCCACGTATCCACTTACAGATTCTACAAAAAGACAGTTTCAAAACTGCTCCATCAAAAGGAGGGTTCAACTGTGTGACTTGAATGCAATCATCACTCAGAAGTTTCTGAGAATGCTTCTCTTTAGTTTTTACGTGAACATATACCCGTTTCGAACGAACCCAGCCAGTGGTCCAAATATCCACTTGCAGATTCTACAGAAAGAGTGTTTCGAACCTGAACTCTCAAAGGCAGGTTCATCTCTGCGAGTTAAATGCATTCATCATGAAGAACTTTCTCAGAGTGTTTGTGTTTAGTTATGGGAAATTATTCCCGTTTCCAACGAAATCCTCAGAGAGCTCCAAATATCCACCTGCAGATTCTACCAAAAGTGTATTTGGAAACTGCTCCATCAAAAGGCATGTTCAGCTCTGTGAGTGAAACTCCATCATCACAAAGAATATTCTGAGAATGCTTCCGTTTGCCTTTTATATGAAGTTCCTTCCTATACGACCGTAGGCCTCAAAGCAGTCCAAATCTCCATTTGCAGATTCTACAAAAAGAGTGATTCCAATCTGCTCTATCAATAGGATTGTTCAACTCCATGAGTTGAATGCCATCCTCACAAAGTAGTTTCTGAGAATGCTTCTATTTAGTTTTTATGTGAAGATATTTCCTTTTCCACCACAGGCCTCAAAGCCGTCCAAACGTCCACTTGCAGATTCTCGAAAAAGAGTGTTTCATAGCTGCTCTTTCAAAAGGAAAGTTCAACTCTGGGAGTTGAATACAAACATCACAAAGTAGTTTCCGAGAATGCTTCTGTTTAGTTCTTATGTGAAGATCATCCCGTTTCCAGTGAAATCTTCAAAGAGGTCCACATATCCCCTTGCAGATTCCAAAGAAAGAGGGTTTCAAAACTGCTCCATCAGAAGGATTGTTCAACTCTGTGAGTTGAATGCAGTCATCGCAGAAAACTTTCTGAGAATGCTTCTGTCTAGGTTTGATGTGAAGATATAGACGTTTCAAACGAAGGCTACAAAGTGGTCAAAATATATACTTGCAGATTCTACTACAAGGGTGTTGCAAACCTGAACTATCAAAGGAAGGTTCAACTCTGTGAGTTGAATACAAACATCACAAAGAATGTTCTGAGTTTGCTTCCGTTCATTTATGGGAAGTTGATCCCATTTCCAACGAAATCCTCAGAGAGGGCCAAATATCCCCTTGCAGATTCTACAAAACGTGTGTTTGGAAACTGCTCCATCATAACGAATGTTCAGCTCTCTGAGTTAAACTCCATCGTCACAAAGAATGTTCTGAGAGTGCTACCGTCTGGTTTTTATATGAAGTTCTTTCCTTTACTACCACAGGCCTCAAAGCGGTCCAAATCTCCACTTGCAGATTCTACAAAAAGAGTGTTTGCAAACTGCTCTATCAAAAGGAATGTTCAACTCTGGGAGTTGAATGCAATCATCACAGAGCAGTTTCTGAGAATGCTTCTATGTCGTTTTTAGGAGAAGATATTTCCTTTTCCAACACAGTCCTCCAAGCCCGCTAAATATCCACTTGAACATTGTAGAAAAAGGGTGTCGAAGCTGCGCTATCAAAGGGAAAGTTCAACTCTGTGAGGTGAATGCAAACATCCCAAAGAAGTTTCTGAGAATGCTTCCGTTTAGCTTTTAGGTGAAGATTATCCCGTTTCCAACGAAATCTTCAAAGAGGTCCAAATATCCCCTTGCGGATCCCACAGAAAGAGTGTTTCGAAACTGCTGTTTCAAAAGGAATCTTCAACTCTGTGGGTTGAATGCAATCATCACAAAGAAGTTTCTGACAATGCTTCTCTCTCGTCTTTCTGTGAAGATAAAGGAAAAGGCTTTCAGGACTTTTCCACCACAGGCCTGAAAGCGCTCCAAATGTCCACTTGCAGATTCTGCCAAAAGAATATTTCAAAACTGCTCTATGAAAAGCAATGTTAAACTCTGCGGCTCGAACGCAAACATCACAAAGCAGTTTCTGAGAATGCTTCAGTTTAGTTTTTCTGTGGAAATATTCCCGTTTCGAAAGAAATCTTCAAAGAGGTCCACGTATCCACTTACAGATTCTACAAAAAGACAGTTTCAAAACTGCTCAATCAAAAGGAGGGTTCAACCGTGTGACTTGAATGCAATCATCACTCAGAAGTTTCTGAGAATGCTTCTCTTTAGTTTTTACGTGAACATATACCCGTTTCGAACGAAGGCCACCCAGTGGTCCAAATATCCACTTGCAGATTCTACAGAAAGAGTGTTTCGAACCTGAACTCTCAAAGGCAGGTTCATCTCTGCGAGTTAAATGCATTCATCATGAAGAACTTTCTCAGAGTGTTTGTGTTTAGTTATGGGAAATTATTCCCGTTTCCAACGAAATCCTCAGAGAGGTCCAAATATCCACCTGCAGATTCTACCAAAAGTGTATTTGGAAACTGCTCCATCAAAAGGCATGTTCAGCTCTGTGAGTGAAACTCCATCATCACAAAGAATATTCTGAGAATGCTTCCGTTTGCCTTTTATCTGAAGTTCCTTCCTATACGACCGTAGGCCTCAAAGCAGTCCAAATCTCCATTTGCAGATTCTACAAAAAGAGTGATTCCAATCTGCTCTATCAATAGGATTGTTCAACTCCATGAGTTGAATGCCATCCTCACAAAGTCGTTTCTGAGAATGCTTCTATCTAGTTTTTATGTGAAGATATTTCCTTTTCCACCACAGGCCTCAAAGCCCTCCAAACGTCCACTTGCAGATTCTCGAAAAAGAGTGTTTCATAGCTGCTCTTTCAAAAGGAAAGTTCAACTCTGGCAGTTGAATACAAACATCACAAAGTAGTTTCCGAGAATGCTTCTGTTTAGTTTTTATGTGAAGATGATCCCGTTTCCAGTGAAATCTTCAAAGAGGTCCACATATCCCCTTGCAGATTCCAAAGAAAGAGGGTTTCAAAACTGCTCCATCAGAAGGATTGTTCAACTCTGTGAGTTGAATGCAGTCATCGCAGAAAACTTTCTGAGAATGCTTCTGTCTAGGTTTGATGTGAAGATATAGACGTTTCAAACGAAGGCTACAAAGTGGTCAAAATATACACTTGCAGATTCTACTACAAGGGTGTTGCAAACCTGAACTATCAAAGGAAGGTTCAACTCTGTGAGTTGAATACAAACATCACAAAGAATGTTCTGAGTTTGCTTCCGTTCAGTTATGGGAAGTTGATCCCGTTTCCAACGAAATCCTCAGAGAGGTCCAAATATCCCCTTGCAGATTCTACAAAACGTGTGTTTGGAAACTGCTCCATCATAACGAATGTTCAGCTCCCTGAGTTAAACTCCATCGTCACAAAGAATTTTCTGAGAGTGCTACCGTCTGGTTTTTATATGAAGCTCTTTCCTTCACTACCCCAGGCCTCAAAGCGGTCCAAATCTCCACTTGCAGATTCTACAAAAAGAGTGTTTGCAAACTGCTCTATCAAAAGGAATGTTCAACTCTGGGAGTTGAATGCAATCATCACAGAGCAGTTTCTGAGAATGCTTCTATGTCGTTTTTAGGAGAAGATATTTCCTTTTCCAACACAGTCCTCCAAGCCCGCTAAATAGCCACTTGCACATTGTAGAAAAAGTGTGTCAAAGCTGCGCTATCAAAGGGAAAGTTCAACTCTGTGAGGTGAATGCAAACATCCCAAAGAAGTTTCTGAGAATGCTTCCGTTTAGCTTTTAGGTGAAGATTATCCCGTTTCCAACGAAACCTTCAAAGAGGTCCAAATATCCCCTTGCGGATCCCACAGAAAGAGTGTTTCGAAACTGCTGTTTCAAAAGGAATCTTCAACTCTGTGAGTTGAATGCAATCATCACAAAGAAGTTTCTGACAATGCTTCTCTCTCGTCTTTCTGTGAAGATAAAGGAAAAGGCTTTCAGGCCTTTTCCACCACAGGCCTGAAAGCGCTCCAAATGTCCACTTGCAGATTCTGCGAAAAGAATATTTCAAAACTGCTCTATGAAAAGCAATGTTAAACTCTGTGGCTCGAACACAAACATCAAAAAGCGGTTTCTGAGAATGCTTCAGTTTAGTTTTTCTGTGGAAATATTCCCGTTTCCAAAGAAATCTTCAAAGAGGTCCACGTATCCACTTACAGATTCTACAAAAAGACAGTTTCAAAACTGCTCCATCAAAAGGAGGGTTCAACTGTGTGACTTGAATGCAATCATCACTCAGAAGTTTCTGAGAATGCTTCTCTTTAGTTTTTACGTGAACATATACCCGTTTCGAACGAAGGCCAGCCAGTGGTCCAAATATCCACTTGCAGATTCTACAGAAAGAGTGTTTCGAACCTGAACTCTCAAAGGCAGGTTCATCTCTGCGAGTTAAATGCATTCATCATGAAGAACTTTCTCAGAGTGTTTGTGTTTAGTTATGGGAAATTATTCCCGTTTCCAACGAAATCCTCAGAGAGGTCCAAATATCCACCTGCAGATTCTACCAAAAGTGTATTTGGAAACTGCTCCATCAAAAGGCATGTTCAGCTCTGTGAGTGAAACTCCATCATCACAAAGAATATTCTGAGAATGCTTCCGTTTGCCTTTTATATGAAGTTCCTTCCTATACGACCGTAGGCCTCAAAGCAGTCCAAATCTCCATTTGCAGATTCTACAAAAAGAGTGATTCCAATCTGCTCTATCAATAGGATTGTTCAACTCCATGAGTTGAATGCCATCCTCACAAAGTAGTTTCTGAGAATGCTTCTATCTAGTTTTTATGTGAAGATATTTCCTTTTCCACCACAGGCCTCAAAGCCCTCCAAACGTCCACTTGCAGATTCTCGAAAAAGAGTGTTTCATAGCTGCTCTTTCAAAAGGAAAGTTCAACTCTGGGAGTTGAATACAAACATCACAAAGTAGTTTCCGAGAATGCTTCTGTTTAGTTTTTATGTGAAGATGATCCCGTTTCCAGTGAAATCTTCAAAGAGGTCCACATATCCCCTTGCAGATTCCAAAGAAAGAGGGTTTCAAAACTGCTCCATCAGAAGGATTGTTCAACTCTGTGAGTTGAATGCAGTCATCGCAGAAAACTTTCTGAGAATGCTTCTGTCTAGGTTTGATGTGAAGATATAGACGTTTCAAACGAACGCTACAAAGTGGTCAAAATATACACTTGCAGATTCTACTACAAGGGTGATGCAAACCTGAACTATCAAAGGAAGGTTCAACTCTGTGAGTTGAATACAAACATCACAAAGAATGTTCTGAGTTTGCTTCCGTTCAGCTATGGGAAGTTGATCCCATTTCCAACGAAATCCTCAGAGAGGTCCAAATATCCCCTTGCAGATTCTACAAAACGTGTGTTTGGAAACTGCTCCATCATAACGAATGTTCAGCTCTCTGAGTTAAACTCCATCGTCACAAAGAATTTTCTGAGGGTGCTACCGTCTAGTTTTTATATGAAGTTCTTTCCTTTACTACCACAGGCCTCAAAGCGGTCCAAATCTCCACTTGCAGATTCTACAAAAACAGTGTTTGCAAACTGCTCTATCAAAAGGAATGTTCAACTCTGGGAGTTGAATGCAATCATCACAGAGCAGTTTCTGAGAATGCTTCTATGTCGTTTTTAGGAGAAGATATTTCCTTTTCCAACACAGTCCTCCAAGCCCGCTAAATATCCACTTGCACATTGTAGAAAAAGTGTGTCGAAGCTGCGCTATCAAAGGGAAAGTTCAACTCTGTGAGGTGAATGCAAACATCCCAAAGAAGTTTCTGAGAATGCTTCCGTTTAGCTTTTAGGTGAAGATTATCCCGTTTCCAAAGAAACCTTCAAAGAGGTCCAAATATCCCCTTGCGGATCCCACAGAAAGAGTGTTTCGAAACTGCTGTTTCAAAAGGACTCTTCAACTCTGTGAGTTGAATGCAATCATCACAAAGAAGTTTCTGACAATGCTTCTCTCTCGTCTTTCTGTGAAGATAAAGGAAAAGGCTTTCAGGCCTTTTCCACCACAGGCCTGAAAGCACTCCAAATGTCCACTTGCAGATTCTGCCAAAACAATATTTCAAAACTGCTCTATGAAAAGCAATGTTAAACTCTGCGGCTCGAACACAAACATCACAAAGCGGTTTCTGAGAATGCTTCAGTTTAGTTTTTCTGTGGAAATATTCCCGTTTCCAAAGAAATCTTCAAAGAGGTCCACGTATCCATTTACAGATTCTACAAAAAGACAGTTTCAAAACTGCTCAATCAAAAGGAGGGTTCAACCGTGTGACTTGAATGCAATCATCAGTCAGAAGTTTCTGAGAATGCTTCTCTTTAGTTTTTACGTGAACATATACCCGTTTCGAACGAAGGCCACCCAGTGGTCCAAATATCCACTTGCAGATTCTACAGAAAGAGTGTTTCGAACCTGAACTCTCAAAGGCAGGTTCATCTCTGCGAGTTCAATGCATTCAACATGAAGAACTTTCTCAGCGTGTTTGTGTTTAGGTATGGGAAATTATTGCCGTTTCCAACGAAATCCTCAGAGAGGTCCAAATATCCACCTGCAGATTCTACCAAAAGTGTATTTGGAAACTGCTCCATCAAAAGGCATGTTCAGCTCTGTGAGTGAAACTCCATCATCACAAAGAATATTCTGAGAATGCTTCCGTTTGCCTTTTATATGAAGTTCCTTCCTATACTACCGTAGGCCTCAAAGCAGTCCAAATCTCCATTTGCAGATTCTACAAAAAGAGTGATTCCAATCTGCTCTATCAATAGGATTGTTCAACTCCATGAGTTGAATGCCATCCTCACAAAGTCGTTTCTGAGAATGCTTCTATCTAGTTTTTATGTGAAGATATTTCCTTTTCCACCACAGGCCTCAAAGCCCTCCAAACGTCCACTTGCAGATTCTCGAAAAAGAGTGTTTCATAGCTGCTCTTTCAAAAGGAAAGTTCAACTCTGGGAGTTGAATACAAACATCACAAAGTAGTTTCCGAGAATGCTTCTGTTTAGTTTTTATGTGAAGATGATCCCGTTTCCAGTGAAATCTTCAAAGAGGTCCACATATCCCCTTGCAGATTCCAAAGAAAGAGGGTTTCAAAACTGCTCCATCAAAAGGATTGTTCAACTCTGTGAGTTGAATGCAGTCATCGCAGAAAACTTTCTGAGAATGCTTCTGTCTAGGTTTGATGTGAAGATATAGACGTTTCAAACGAAGGCTACAAAGAGGTCAAAATATACACTTGCAGATTCTACTACAAGGGTGTTGCAAACCTGAACTATCAAAGGAAGGTTCAACTCTGTGAGTTGAATACAAACATCACAAAGAATGTTCTGAGTTTGCTTCCGTTCAGTTATGGGAAGTTGATCCCGTTTCCAACGAAATCCTCAGAGAGGTCCAAATATCCCCTTGCAGATTCTACAAAACGTGTGTTTGGAAACTGCTCCATCATAACGAATGTTCAGCTCCCTGAGTTAAACTCCATCGTCACAAAGAATTTTCTGAGAGTGCTACCGTCTGGTTTTTATATGAAGTTCTTTCCTTCACTACCACAGGCCTCAAAGCGGTCCAAATCTCCACTTGCAGATTCTACAAAAAGAGTGTTTGCAAACTGCTCTATCAAAAGGAATGTTCAACTCTGGGAGTTGAATGCAATCATCACAGAGCAGTTTCTGAGAATGCTTCTATGTCGTTTTTAGGAGAAGATATTTCCTTTTCCAACACAGTCCTCCAAGCCCGCTAAATAGCCACTTGCACATTGTAGAAAAAGTGTGTCGAAGCTGCGCTATCAAAGGGAAAGTTCAACTCTGTGAGGTGAATGCAAACATCCCAAAGAAGTTTCTGAGAATGCTTCCGTTTAGCTTTTAGGTGAAGATTATCCCGTTTCCAACGAAATCTTCAAAGAGGTCCAAATATCCCCTTGCGGATCCCACAGAAAGAGTGTTTCGAAACTGCTGTTTCAAAAGGAATCTTCAACTCTGTGAGTTGAATGCAATCATCACAAAGAAGTTTCTGACAATGCTTCTCTCTCGTCTTTCTGTGAAGATAAAGGAAAAGGCTTTCAGGCCTTTTCCACCACAGGCCTGAAAGCGCTCCAAATGTCCACTTGCAGATTCTGCCAAAAGAATATTTCAAAACTGCTCTATGAAAAGCAATGTTAAAATCTGTGGCTCGAACACAAACATCACAAAGCAGTTTCTGAGAGTGCTTCAGTTTAGTTTTTCTGTGGAAATATTCCCGTTTCCAAAGAAATCTTCAAAGAGGTCCACGTATCCACTTACAGATTCTACAAAAAGACAGTTTCAAAACTGCTCAATCAAAAGGAGGGTTCAACCGTGTGACTTGAATGCAATCATCACTCAGAAGTTTCTGAGAATGCTTCTCTTTAGTTTTTACGTGAACATATACCCGTTTAGAACGAAGGCCACCCAGTGGTCCAAATATCCACTTGCAGATTCTATAGAAAGAGTGTTTCGAACCTGAACTCTCAAAGGCAGGTTCATCTCTGCGAGTTAAATGCATTCATCATGAAGAACTTTCTCAGAGTGTTTGTGTTTAGGTATGGGAAATTATTCCCGTTTCCAACGAAATCCTCAGAGAGCTCCAAATATCCACCTGCAGATTCTACCAAAAGTGTATTTGGCAACTGCTCCATCAAAAGGCATGTTCAGCTCTGTGAGTGAAACTCCATCATCACAAAGGATATTCTGAGAATGCTTCCGTTTGCCTTTTATATGAAGTTCCTTCCTATACTACCGTAGGCCTCAAAGCAGTCCAAATCTCCATTTGCAGATTCTACAAAAAGAGTGATTCCAATCTGCTCTATCAATAGGATTGTTCAACTCCATGAGTTGAATGCCATCCTCACAAAGTCGTTTCTGAGAATGCTTCTATGTAGTTTTTATGTGAAGATATTTCCTTTTCCACCACAGGCCTCAAAGCCCTCCAAACGTCCACTTGCAGATTCTCGAAAAAGAGTGTTTCATAGCTGCTCTTTCAAAAGGAAAGTTCAACTCTGGGAGTTGAATACAAACATCACAAAGTAGTTTCCGAGAATGCTTCTGTTTAGTTCTTATGTGAAGATGATCCCGTTTCCAGTGAAATCTTCAAAGAGGTCCACATATCCCCTTGCAGATTCCAAAAAAAGAGGGTTTCAAAACTGCTCCATCAAAAGGATTGTTCAACTCTGTGAGTTGAATGCAGTCATCGCAGAAAACTTTCTGAGAATGCTTCTGTCTAGGTTTGATGTGAAGATATAGACGTTTCAAACGAAGGCTACAAAGTGGTCAAAATATACACTTGCAGATTCTCCTACAAGGGTGCTGCAAACCTCAACTATCAAAGGAAGGTTCAACTCTGTGAGATGAATGCAAACATCACAAAGAATGTTCTGAGTTTGCTTCCGTTCAGTTATGGGAAGTTGATCCCGTTTCCAACGAAATCCTCAGAGAGGTCCAAATATCCCCTTGCAGATTCTACAAAACGTGTGTTTGGAAACTGCTCCATCATAACGAATGTTCAGCTCTCTGAGTTAAACTCCATCGTCACAAAGAATTTTCTGAGAGTGCTACCGTCTAGTTTTTATATGAAGTTCTTTCCTTTACTACCACAGGCCTCAAAGCGGTCCAAATCTCCACTTGCAGATTCTACAAAAAGAGTGTTTGCAAACTGCTCTATCAAAAGGAATGTTCAACTCTGGGAGTTGAATGCAATCATCACAGAGCAGTTTCTGAGAATGCTTCTATGTCGTTTTTAGGAGAAGATATTTCCTTTTCCAACACAGTCCTCCAAGCCCGCTAAATATCCACTTGCACATTGTAGAAAAAGTGTGTCGAAGCTGCGCTATCAAAGGGAAAGTTCAACTCTGTGAGGTGAATGCAAACATCCCAAAGAAGTTTCTGAGAATGCTTCCGTTTAGCTTTTAGGTGAAGATTATCCCGTTTCCAACGAAAGCTTCAAAGAGGTCCAAATATCCCCTTGCGGATCCCACAGAAAGAGTGTTTCGAAACTGCTGTTTCAAAAGGAATCTTCAACTCTGTGAGTTGAATGCAATCATCACAAAGAAGTTTCTGACAATGCTTCTCTCTCGTCTTTCTGTGAAGATAAAGGAAAAGGCTTTCAGGTCTTTTCCACCACAGGCCTGAAAGCGCTCCAAATGTCCACTTGCAGATTCTGCCAAAAGAATATTTCAAAACTGCTCTATGAAAAGCAATGTTAAACTCTGCGGCTCGAACACAAACATCACAAAACAGTTTCTGAGAATGCTTCAGTTTAGTTTTTCTGTGGAAATATTCCCGTTTCCAAAGAAATCTTCAAAGAGGTCCACGTATCCACTTACAGATTCTACAAAAAGACAGTTTCAAAACTGCTCCATCAAAAGGAGGGTTCAACTGTGTGACTTGAATGCAATCATCACTCAGAAGTTTCTGAGAATGCTTCTCTTTAGTTTTTAGGTGAACATATACCCGTTTCGAACGAAGGCCACCCAGTGGTCCAAATATCCACTTGCAGATTCTACAGAAAGAGTGTTTCGAACCTGAATCTCTCAAAGGCAGGTTCATCTCTGCGAGTTAAATGCATTCATCATGAAGAACTTTCTCAGAGTGTTTGTGTTTAGTTATGGGAAATTATTCCCGTTTCCAACGAAATCCTCAGAGAGCTCCAAATATCCACCTGCAGATTCTACCAAAAGTGTATTTGGAAACTGCTCCATCAAAAGGCATGTTCAGCTCTGTGAGTGAAACTCCATCATCACAAAGAATATTCTGAGAATGCTTCCGTTTGCCTTTTATATGAAGTTCCTTCCTATACGACCGTAGGCCTCAAAGCAGTCCAAATCTCCATTTGCAGATTCTACAAAAAGAGTGATTCCAATCTGCTGTATCAATAGGATTGTTCAACTCCATGAGTTGAAAGCCATCCTCACGAAGTAGTTTCTGAGAATGCTTCTATCTAGTTTTTATGTGAAGATATTTCCTTTTCCACCACAGGCCTCAAAGCCTTCCAAACGTCCACTTGCAGATTCTCGAAAAAGAGTGTTTCATAGCTGCTCTTTCAAAAGGAAAGTTCAACTCTGGGAGTTGAATACAAACATCACAAAGTAGTTTCCGAGAATGCTTCTGTTTAGTTTTTATGTGAAGATGATCCCGTTTCCAGTGAAATCTTCAAAGAGGTCCACATATCCCCTTGCAGATTCCAAAGAAAGAGGGTTTCAAAACTGCTCCATCAGAAGGATTGTTCAACTCTGTGAGTTGAATGCAGTCATCGCAGAAAACTTTCTGAGAATGCTTCTGTCTAGGTTTGATGTGAAGATATAGACGTTTCAAATGAAGGCTACAAAGTGGTCAAAATATACACTTGCAGATTCTACTACAAGGGTGTTGCAAACCTGAACTATCAAAGGAAGGTTCAACTCTGTGAGTTGAATACAAACATCACAAAGAATGTTCTGAGTTTGCTTCCGTTCAGTTATGGGAAGTTGATCCCGTTTCCAACGAAATCCTCAGAGAGGTCCAAATATCCCCTCGCAGATTCTACAAAACGTGTGTTTGGAAACTGCTCCATCATAACGAATGTTCAGCTCCCTGAGTTAAACTCCATCGTCACAAAGAATTTTCTGAGAGTGCTACCGTCTAGTTTTTATATGAAGTTCTTTCCTTTACTACCACAGGCCTCAAGGCGGTCCAAATCTCCACTTGCAGATTCTACAAAAAGAGTGTTTGCAAACTGCTCTATCAAAAGGAATGTTCAACTCTGGGAGTTGAATGCAATCATCACAGAGTAGTTTCTGAGAATGCTTCTATGTCGTTTTTAGGAGAAGATATTTCCTTTTCCAACACAGTCCTCCAAGCCCGCTAAATAGCCACTTGCACATTGTAGAAAAAGTGTGTCAAAGCTGCGCTATCAAAGGGAAAGTTCAACTCTGTGAGGTGAATGCAAACATCCTAAAGAAGTTTCTGAGAATGCTTCCGTTTAGCTTTTAGGTGAAGATTATCCCGTTTCCAACGAAACCTTCAAAGAGGTGCAAATATCCCCTTGCGGATCCCACAGAAAGAGTGTTTCGAAACTGCTGTTTCAAAAGGAATCTTCAACTCTGTGAGTTGAATGCAATCATCACAAAGAAGTTTCTGACAATGCTTCTCTCTCGTCTTTCTGTGAAGATAATGGAAAAGGCTTTCAGGCCTTTTCCACCACAGGCCTGAAAGCGCTCCAAATGTCCACTTGCAGATTCTGCGAAAAGAATATTTCAAAACTGCTCTATGAAAAGCAATGTTAAACTCTGTGGCTGGAACACAAACATCACAAAGCGGTTTCTGAGAATGTTTCAGTTTAGTTTTTCTGTGGAAATATTCCCGTTTCCAAAGAAATCTTCAAAGAGGTCCACGTATCCACTTACAGATTCTACAAAAAGACAGTTTCAAAACTGCTCCATCAAAAGGAGGGTTCAACTGTGTGACTTGAATGCAATCATCACTCAGAAGTTTCTGAGAATGCTTCTCTTTAGTTTTTACGTGAACATATACCCGTTTCGAACGAAGGCCACCCAGTGGTCCAAATATCCACTTGCAGATTCTACAGAAAGAGTGTTTCGAACCTGAACTCTCAAAGGCAGGTTCATCTCTGCAAGTTAAATGCATTCATCATGAAGAACTTTCTCAGAGTGTTTGTGTTTAGTTATGGGAAATTATTCCCGTTTCCAACGAAATCCTCAGAGAGCTCCAAATATCCACCTGCTGATTCTACCAAAAGTGTATTTGGAAACTGCTCCATCAAAAGGCATGTTCAGCTCTGTGAGTGAAACTCCATCATCACAAAGAATATTCTGAGAATGCTTCCGTTTGCCTTTTATATGAAGTTCCTTCCTATACGACCGTAGGCCTCAAAGCAGTCCAAATCTCCATTTGCAGATTCCACAAAAAGAGTGATTCCAATCTGCTCTATCAATAGGATTGTTCAACTCCATGAGTTGAATGCCATCCTCACAAAGTAGTTTCTGAGAATGCTTCTATCTAGTTTTATGTGAAGATATTTCCTTTTCCACCACAGGCCTCAAAGCCCTCCAAACGTCCACTTGCAGATTCTCGAAAAAGAGTGTTTCATAGCTGCTCTTTCAAAAGGAAAGTTCAACTCTGGGAGTTGAATACAAACATCACAAAGTAGTTTCCGAGAATGCTTCTGTTTAGTTTTTATGTGAAGATGATCCCGTTTCCAGTGAAATCTTCAAAGAGGTCCACATATCCCCTTGCAGATTCCAAAGAAAGAGGGTTTCAAAACTGCTCCATCAGAAGGATTGTTCAACTCTGTGAGTTGAATGCAGTCATCGCAGAAAACTTTCTGAGAATGCTTCTGTCTAGGTTTGATGTGAAGATATAGACGTTTCAAACGAAGGCTACAAAGTGGTCAAAATATACACTTGCAGATTCTACTACAAGGGTGTTGCAAACCTGAACTATCAAAGGAAGGTTCAACTCTGTGAGTTGAATACAAACATCACAAAGAATGTTCCGAGTTTGCTTCCGTTCAGTTATGGGAAGTTGATCCCGTTTCCAACGAAATCCTCAGAGAGGTCTAAATATCCCCTTGCAGATTCTACAAAACGTGTGTTTGGAAACTGCTCCATCATAACGAATGTTCAGCTCCCTGAGTTAAACTCCATCGTCACAAAGAATTTTCTGAGAGTGCTACCGTCTGGTTTTTATATGAAGTTCTTTCCTTCACTACCACAGGCCTCAAAGCGGTCCAAATCTCCACTTGCAGATTCTACAAAAAGAGTGTTTGCAAACTGCTCTATCAAAAGGAATGTTCAACTCTGGGAGTTGAATGCAATCATCACAGAGCAGTTTCTGAGAATGCTTCTATGTCGTTTTTAGGAGAAGATATTTCCTTTTCCAACACAGTCCTCCAAGCCCGCTAAATAGCCACTTGCACATTGTAGAAAAAGTGTGTCAAAGCTGCGCTATCAAAGGGAAAGTTCAACTCTGTGAGGTGAATGCAAACATCCCAAAGAAGTTTCTGAGAATGCTTCCGTTTAGCTTTTAGGTGAAGATTATCCCGTTTCCAACGAAACCTTCAAAGAGGTCCAAATATCCCCTTGCGGATCCCACAGAAAGAGTGTTTCGAAACTGCTGTTTCAAAAGGAATCTTCAACTCTGTGAGTTGAATGCAATCATCACAAAGAAGTTTCTGACAATGCTTCTCTCTCGTCTTTCTGTGAAGATAAAGGAAAAGGCTTTCAGGCCTTTGCCACCACAGGCCTGAAAGCGCTCCAAATGTCCACTTGCAGATTCTGCCAAAAGAATATTTCAAAACTGCTCTATGAAAAGCAATGTTAAACTCTGCGGCTCGAACACAAACATCACAAAGCGGTTTCTGAGAATGCTTCAGTTTAGTTTTTCTGTGGAAATATTCCCGTTTCCAAAGAAATCTTCAAAGAGGTCCACTGTATCCACTTACAGATTCTACAAAAAGACAGTTTCAAAACTGCTCCATCAAAAGGAGGGTTCAACTGTGTGACTTGAATGCAATCATCACTCAGAAGTTTCTGAGAATGCTTCTCTTTAGTTTTTACGTGAACATATACCCGTTTCGAACGAAGGCCAGCCAGTGGTCCAAATATCCACTTGCAGATTCTACAGAAAGAGTGTTTCGAACCTGAACTCTCAAAGGCAGGTTCATCTCTGCGAGTTAAATGCATTCATCATGAAGAACTTTCTCAGAGTGTTTGTGTTTAGTTATGGGAAATTATTCCCTTTTCCAACGAAATCCTCAGAGAGCTCCAAATATCCACCTGCAGATTCTACCAAAAGTGTATTTGGAAACTGCTCCATCAAAAGGCATGTTCAGCTCTGTGAGTGAAACTCCATCATCACAAAGAATATTCTGAGAATGCTTCCGTTTGCCTTTTATATGAAGTTCCTTCCTATACTACCGTAGGCCTCAAAGCAGTCCAAATCTCCATTTGCAGATTCTACAAAAAGAGTGATTCCAATCTGCTCTATCAATAGGATTGTTCAACTCCATGAGTTGAATGCCATCCTCACAAAGTAGTTTCTGAGAATGCTTCTATCTAGTTTTTATGTGAAGATATTTCCTTTTCCACCACAGGCCTCAAAGCCCTCCAAAAGTCCACTTGCAGATTCTCGAAAAAGAGTGTTTCATAGCTGCTCTTTCAAAAGGAAATTTCAACTCTGGGAGTTGAATACAAACATCACAAAGAATGTTCTGAGTTTGCTTCCGTTCAGTTATGGGAAGTTGATCCCGTTTCCAACGAAATCCTCAGAGAGGTCCAAATATCCCCTTGCAGATTCTACAAAACGTGTGTTCGGAAACTGCTCCATCATAACGAATGTTCAGCTCCCTGAGTTAAACTCCATCGTCACAAAGAATTTTCTGAGAGTGCTACCGTCTGGTTTTTATATGAAGTTCTTTCCTTCACTACCACAGGCCTCAAAGCGGTCCAAATCTCCACTTGCAGATTCTACAAAAAGAGTGTTTGCAAACTGCTCTATCAAAAGGAATGTTCAACTCTGGGAGTTGAATGCAATCATCACAGAGCAGTTTCTGAGAATGCTTCTATGTCGTTTTTAGGAGAAGATATTTCCTTTTCCAACACAGTCCTCCAAGCCCGCTAAATAGCCACTTGCACATTGTAGAAAAAGTGTGTCAAAGCTGCGCTATCAAAGGGAAAGTTCAACTCTGTGAGGTGAATGCAAACATCCCAAAGAAGTTTCTGAGAATGCTTCCGTTTAGCTTTTAGGTGAAGATTATCCCGTTTCCAACGAAACCTTCAAAGAGGTCCAAATATCCCCTTGCGGATCCCACAGAAAGAGTGTATCGAAACTGCTGTTTCAAAAGGAATCTTCAACTCTGTGAGTTGAATGCAATCATCACAAAGAAGTTTCTGACAATGCTTCTCTCTCGTCTTTCTGTGAAGATAAAGGAAAAGGCTTTCAGGCCTTTTCCACCACAGGCCTGAAAGCGCTCCAAATGTCCACTTGCAGATTCTGCCAAAAGAATATTTCAAAACTGCTCTATGAAAAGCAATGTTAAACTCTGTGGCTCGAACACAAACATCACAAAGCAGTTTCTGAGAATGCTTCAGTTTAGTTTTTCTGTGGAAATATTCCCGTTTCCAAAGAAATCTTCAAAGAGGTCCACGTATCCACTTACAGATTCTACAAAAAGACAGTTTCAAAACTGCTCCATCAAAAGGAGGGTTCAACTGTGTGACTTGAATGCAATCATCACTCAGAAGTTTCTGAGAATGCTTCTCTTTAGTTTTTACGTGAACATATACCCGTTTCGAACGAAGGCCAGCCAGTGGTCCAAATATCCACTTGCAGATTCTACAGAAAGAGTGTTTCGAACCTGAACTCTCAAAGGCAGGTTCATCTCTGCGAGTTAAATGCATTCATCATGAAGAACTTTCTCAGAGTGTTTGTGTTTAGTTATGGGAAATTATTCCCGTTTCCAACGAAATCCTCAGAGAGCTCCAAATATCCACCTGCAGATTCTACCAAAAGTGTATTTGGAAACTGCTCCATCAAAAGGCATGTTCAGCTCTGTGAGTGAAACTCCATCATCACAAAGAATATTCTGAGAATGCTTCCGTTTGTCTTTTATATGAAGTTCCTTCCTGTACTACCGTAGGCCTCAAAGCAGTCCAAATCTCCATTTGCAGATTCTATAAAAAGAGTGATTCCAATCTGCTCTATCAATAGGATTGTTCAACTCCATGAGTTGAATGCCATCCTCACAAAGTAGTTTCTGAGAATGCTTCTATCTGGTTTTTGTGTGAAGATATTTCCTTTTCCACCACAGGCCTCAAAGCCCTCCAAACGTCCACTTGCAGATTCTCGAAAAAGAGTGTTTCATAGCTGCTCTTTCAAAAGGAAAGTTCAACTCTGGGAGTTGAATACAAACATCACAAAGTAGTTTCCGAGAATGCTTCTGTTTAGTTTTTATGTGAAGATGATCCCGTTTCCAGTGAAATCTTCAAAGAGGTCCACATATCCCCTTGCAGATTCCAAAGAAAGAGGGTTTCAAAACTGCTCCATCAGAAGGATTGTTCAACTCTGTGAGTTGAATGCAGTCATCGCAGAAAACTTTCTGAGAATGCTTCTGTCTAGGTTTGATGTGAAGATATAGACGTTTCAAACGAAGGCTACAAAGTGGTCAAAATATACACTTGCAGATTCTACTACAAGGGTGTTGCAAACCTGAACTATCAAAGGAAGGTTCAACTCTGTGAGTTGAATACAAACATCACAAAGAATGTTCTGAGTTTGCTTCCGTTCAGTTATGGGAAGTTGATCCCGTTTCCAACGAAATCCTCAGAGAGGTCCAAATATCCCCTTGCAGATTCTACAAAACGTGTGTTTGGAAACTGCTCCATCATAACGAATGTTCAGCTCCCTGAGTTAAACTCCATCGTCACAAAGAATTTTCTGAGAGTGCTACCGTCTGGTTTTTATATGAAGCTCTTTCCTTCACTACCACAGGCCTCAAAGCGGTCCAAATCTCCACTTGCAGATTCTACAAAAAGAGTGTTTGCAAACTGCTCTATCAAAAGGAATGTTCAACTCTGGGAGTTGAATGCAATCATCACAGAGCAGTTTCTGAGAATGCTTCTATGTCGTTTTTAGGAGAAGATATTTCCTTTTCCAACACAGTCCTCCAAGCCCGCTAAATAGCCACTTGCACATTGTAGAAAACGTGTGTCAAAGCTGCGCTATCAAAGGGAAAGTTCAACTCTGTGAGGTGAATGCAAACATCCCAAAGAAGTTTCTGAGAATGCTTCCGTTTAGCTTTTAGGTGAAGATTATCCCGTTTCCAACGAAACCTTCAAAGAGGTCCAAATATCCCCTTGCGGATCCCACAGAAAGAGTGTTTCGAAACTGCTGTTTCAAAAGGAATCTTCAACTCTGTGAGTTGAATGCAATCATCAAAAAGAAGTTTCTGACAATGCTTCTCTCTCGTCTTTCTGTGAAGATAAAGGAAAAGGCTTTCAGGCCTTTTCCACCACAGGCCTGAAAGCGCTCCAAATGTCCACTTGCAGATTCTGCCAAAAGAATATTTCAAAACTGCTCTATGAAAAGCAATGTTAAACTCTGTGGCTCGAACACAAACATCACAAAGCAGTTTCTGAGAATGCTTCAGTTTAGATTTTCTGTGGAAATACTCCCGTTTCCAAAGAAATCTTCAAAGAGGTCCACGTATCCACTTACAGATTCTACAAAAAGACAGTTTCAAAACTGCTCCATCAAAAGGAGGGTTCAACTGTGTGACTTGAATGCAATCATCACTCAGAAGTTTCTGAGAATGCTTCTCTTTAGTTTTTACGTGAACATATACCCGTTTCGAACGAAGGCCACCCAGTGGTCCAAATATCCACTTGCAGATTCTACAGAAAGAGTGTTTCGAACCTGAACTCTCAAAGGCAGGTTCATCTCTGCGAGTTAAATGCATTCATCATGAAGAACTTTCTCAGAGTGTTTGTGTTTAGTTATGGGAAATTATTCCCGTTTCCAACGAAATCCTCAGAGAGCTCCAAATATCCACCTGCAGATTCTACCAAAAGTGTATTTGGAAACTGCTCCATCAAAAGGCATGTTCAGCTCTGTGAGTGAAACTCCATCATCACAAAGAATATTCTGAGAATGCTTCCGTTTGCCTTTTATATGAACTTCCTTCCTATACGACCGTAGGCCTCAAAGCAGTCCAAATCTCCATTTGCAGATTCTACAAAAAGAGTGATTCCAATCTGCTCTATCAATAGGATTGTTCAACTCCATGTGTTGAATGCCATCCTCACAAAGTCGTTTCTGAGAATGCTTCTATCTAGTTTTTATGTGAAGATATTTCCTTTTCCACCACAGGCCTCAAAGCCCTCCAAACGTCCACTTGCAGATTCTCGAAAAAGAGTGTTTCATAGCTGCTCTTTCAAAAGGAAAGTTCAACTCTGGGAGTTGAATACAAACATCACAAAGTAGTTTCCGAGAATGCTTCTGTTTAGTTTTTATGTGAAGATGATCCCGTTTCCAGTGAAATCTTCAAAGAGGTCCACATATCCCCTTGCAGATTCCAAAGAAAGAGGGTTTCAAAACTGCTCCATCAGAAGGATTGTTCAACTCTGTGAGTTGAATGCAGTCATCGCAGAAAACTTTCTGAGAATGCTTCTGTCTAGGTTTGATGTGAAGATATAGACGTTTCAAACGAAGGCTACAAAGTGGTCAAAATATACACTTGCAGATTCTACTACAAGGGTGTTGCAAACCTGAACTATCAAAGGAAGGTTCAACTCTGTGAGTTGAATACAAACATCACAAAGAATGTTCTGAGTTTGCTTCCGTTCAGTTATGGGAAGTTGATCCCGTTTCCAACGAAATCCTCAGAGAGGTCCAAATATCCCCTTGCAGATTCTACAAAACGTGTGTTTGGAAACTGCTCCATCATAACGAATGTTCAGCTCCCTGAGTTAAACTCCATCGTCACAAAGAATTTTCTGAGAGTGCTACCGTCTGGTTTTTATATGAAGTTCTTTCCTTCACTACCACAGGCCTCAAAGCGGTCCAAATCTCCACTTGCAGATTCTACAAAAAGAGTGTTTGCAAACTGCTCTATCAAAAGGAATGTTCAACTCTGGGAGTTGAATGCAATCATCACAGAGCAGTTTCTGAGAATGCTTCTATGTCGTTTTTAGGAGAAGATATTTCCTTTTCCAACACAGTCCTCCAAGCCCGCTAAATAGCCACTTGCACATTGTAGAAAAAGTGTGTCAAAGCTGCGCTATCAAAGGGAAAGTTCAACTCTGTGAGGTGAATGCAAACATCCCAAAGAAATTTCTGAGAATGCTTCCGTTTAGCTTTTAGGTGAAGATTATCCCGTTTCCAACGAAACCTTCAAAGAGGTCCAAATATCCCCTTGCGGATCCCACAGAAAGAGTGTTTCGAAACTGCTGTTTCAAAAGGAATCTTCAACTCTGTGAGTTGAATGCAATCATCACAAAGAAGTTTCTGACAATGCTTCTCTCTCGTCTTTCTGTGAAGATAAAGGAAAAGGCTTTCAGGCCTTTTCCACCCACAGGCCTGAAAGCGCTCCAAATGTCCACTTGCAGATTCTTCCAAAAGAATATTTCAAAACTGCTCTATGAAAAGCAATGTTAAACTCTGCGGCTCGAACACAAACATCACAAAGCAGTTTCAGAGAATGCTTCAGTTTAGTTTTTCTGTGGAAATATTCCCGTTTCCAAAGAAATCTTCAAAGAGGTCCACGCATCCACTTACAGATTCTACAAAAAGACAGTTTCAAAACTGCTCAATCAAAAGGAGGGTTCAACTGTGTGACTTGAATGCAATCATCACTCAGAAGTTTCTGAGAACGCTTCTCTTTAGTTTTTACGTGAACATATACCCGTTTCGAACGAAGGCCAGCCAGTGGTCCAAATATCCACTTGCAGATTCTACAGAAAGAGTGTTTCGAACCTGAACTCTCAAAGGCAGGTTCATCTCTGCGAGTTCAATGCATTCATCATGAAGAACTTTCTCAGCGTGTTTGTGTTTAGTTATGGGAAATTATTCCCGTTTCCAACGAAATCCTCAGAGAGGTCCAAATATCCACCTGCAGATTCTACCAAAAGTGTATTTGGAAACTGCTCCATCAAAAGGCATGTTCAGCTCTGTGAGTGAAACTCCATCATCACAAAGAATATTCTGAGAATGCTTCCGTTTGCCTTTTATATGAAGTTCCTTCCTATACTACCGTAGGCCTCAAAGCAGTCCAAATCTCCATTTGCAGATTCTACAAAAAGAGTGATTCCAATCTGCTCTATCAATAGGATTGTTCAACTCCATGATTTGAATGCCATCCTCACAAAGTCGTTTGTGAGAATGCTTCTATCTAGTTTTTATGTGAAGATATTTCCTTTTCCACCACAGGCCTCAAAGCCCTCCAAACGTCCACTTGCAGATTCTCGAAAAAGAGTGTTTCATAGCTGCTCTTTCAAAAGGAAAGTTCAACTCTGGGAGTTGAATACAAACATCACAAAGTAGTTTCCGAGAATGCTTCTGTTTAGTTCTTATGTGAAGATGATCCCGTTTCCAGTGAAATCTTCAAAGAGGTCCACATATCCCCTTGCAGATTCCAAAGAAAGAGGGTTTCAAAACTGCTCCATCAAAAGGATTGTTCAACTCTGTGAGTTGAATGCAGTCATCGCAGAAAACTTTCTGAGAATGCTTCTGTCTAGGTTTGAGGTGAAGATATAGACGTTTCAAACGAAGGCTACAAAGTGGTCAAAATATACACTTGCAGATTCTACTACAAGGGTGTTGCAAACCTCAACTATCAAAGGAAGGTTCAACTCTGTGAGTTGAATACAAACATCACAAAGAATGTTCTGAGTTTGCTTCCGTTCAGTTATGGGAAGTTGATCCCGTTTCCAACGAAATCCTCAGAGAGGTCCAAATATCCCCTTGCAGATTCTACAAAACGTGTGTTTGGAAACTGCTCCATCATAACGAATGTTCAGCTCTCTGAGTTAAACTCCATCGTCACAAAGAATTTTCTGAGAGTGCTACCGTCTAGTTTTTATATGAAGTTCTTTCCTTTACTACCACAGGCCTCAAAGCGGTCCAAATCTCCACTTGCAGATTCTACAAAAAGAGTGTTTGCAAACTGCTCTATCAAAAGGAATGTTCAACTCTGGGAGTTGAATGCAATCATCACAGAGCAGTTTCTGAGAATGCTTCTATGTCGTTTTTAGGAGAAGATATTTCCTTTTCCAACACAGTCCTCCAAGCCCGCTAAATATCCACTTGCACATTGTAGAAAAAGTGTGTCGAAGCTGCGCTATCAAAGGGAAAATTCAACTCTGTGAGGTGAATGCAAACTTCCCAAAGAAGTTTCTGAGAATGCTTCCGTTTAGCTTTTAGGTGAAGATTATCCCGTTTCCAACGAAACCTTCAAAGAGGTCCAAATATCCCCTTGCGGATCCCACAGAAAGAGTGTTTCGAAACTGCTGTTTCAAAAGGAATCTTCAACTCTGTGAGTTGAATGCAATCATCACAAAGAAGTTTCTGACAATGCTTCTCTCTCGTCTTTCTGTGAAGATAAAGGAAAAGGCTTTCAGGCCTTTTCCACCACAGGCCTGAAAGCGCTCCAAATGTCCACTTGCAGATTCTGCCAAAAGAATATTTCAAAACTGCTCTATGAAAAGCAATGTTAAACTACTGTGGCTCGAACACAAACATCACAAAGCAGTTTCTGAGAATGCTTCAGTTTAGTTTTTCTGTGGAAATATTCCCGTTTCCAAAGAAATCTTCAAAGGGGGTCCACGTATCCACTTACAGATTCTACAAAAAGACAGTTTCAAAACTGCTCCATCAAAAGGAGGGTTCAACTGTGTGACTTGAATGCAATCATCACTCAGAAGTTTCTGAGAATGCTTCTCTTTAGTTTTTACGTGAACATATACCCGTTTCGAACGAAGGCCAGCCAGTGGTCCAAATATCCACTTGCAGATTCTACAGAAAGAGTGTTTCGAACCTGAACTCTCAAAGGCAGGTTCATCTCTGCGAGTTAAATGCATTCATCATGAAGAACTTTCTCAGAGTGTTTGTGTTTAGTTATGGGAAATTATTCCCGTTTCCAACGAAATCCTCAGAGAGCTCCAAATATCCACCTGCAGATTCTACCAAAAGTGTATTTGGAAACTGCTCCATCAAAAGGCATGTTCAGCTCTGTGAGTGAAACTCCATCATCACAAAGAATATTCTGAGAATGCTTCCGTTTGCCTTTTATATGAAGTTCCTTCCTATACGACCGTAGGCCTCAAAGCAGTCCAAATCTCCATTTGCAGATTCTACAAAAAGAGTGATTCCAATCTGCTCTATCAATAGGATTGTTCAACTCCATGAGTTGAATGCCATCCTCACAAAGTAGTTTCTGAGAATGCTTCTATCTGGTTTTTGTGTGAAGATATTTCCTTTTCCACCACAGGCCTCAAAGCCCTCCAAACGTCCACTTGCAGATTCTCGAAAAAGAGTGTTTCATAGCTGCTCTTTCAAAAGGAAAGTTCAACTCTGGGAGTTGAATACAAACATCACAAAATAGTTTCCGAGAATGCTTCTGTTTAGTTTTTATGTGAAGATGATCCCGTTTCCAGTGAAATCTTCAAAGAGGTCCACATATCCCCTTGCAGATTCCAAAGAAAGAGGGTTTCAAAACTGCTCCATCAAAAGGATTCTTCAACTCTGTGAGTTGAATGCAGTCATCGCAGAAAACTTTCTGAGAATGCTTCTGTCTAGGTTTGATGTGAAGATATAGACGTTTCAAACGAAGGCTACAAAGTGATCAAAATATACACTTGCAGATTCTACTACAAGGGTGTTGCAAACCTGAACTATCAAAGGAAGGTTCAACTCTGTGAGTTGAATACAAACATCACAAAGAATGTTCTGAGTTTGCTTCCGTTCAGTTATGGGAAGTTGATCCCGTTTCCAACGAAATCCTCAGAGAGGTCCAAATATCCCCTTGCAGATTCTACAAAACGTGTGTTTGGAAACTGCTCCATCATAACGAATGTTCAGCTCCCTGAGTTAAACTCCATCGTCACAAAGAATTTTCTGAGAGTGCTACCGTCTGGTTTTTATATGAAGTTCTTTCCTTCACTACCACAGGCCTCAAAGCGGTCCAAATCTCCACTTGCAGATTCTACAAAAAGAGTGTTTGCAAACTGCTCTATCAAAAGGAATGTTCAACTCTGGGAGTTGAATGCAATCATCACAGAGCAGTTTCTGAGAATGCTTCTATGTCGTTTTTAGGAGAAGATATTTCCTTTTCCAACACAGTCCTCCAAGCCCGCTAAATAGCCACTTGCACATTGTAGAAAAAGTGTGTCAAAGCTGCGCTATCAAAGGGAAAGTTCAACTCTGTGAGGTGAATGCAAACATCCCAAAGAAGTTTCTGAGAATGCTTCCGTTTAGCTTTTAGGTGAAGATTATCCCGTTTCCAACGAAACCTTCAAAGAGGTCCAAATATCCCCTTGCGGATCCCACAGAAAGAGTGTTTCGAAACTGCTGTTTCAAAAGGAATCTTCAACTCTGTGAGTTGAATGCAATCATCACAAAGAAGTTTCTGACAATGCTTCTCTCTCGTCTTTCTGTGAAGATAAAGGAAAAGGCTTTCAGGCCTTTTCCACCACAGGCCTGAAAGCGCTCCAAATGTCCACTTGCAGATTCTGCGAAAAGAATATTTCAAAACTGCTCTACGAAAAGCAATGTTAAACTCTGTGGCTCGAACACAAACATCACAAAGCGGTTTCTGAGAATGCTTCAGTTTAGTTTTTCTGTGGAAATATTCCCGTTTCCAAAGAAATCTTCAAAGAGGTCCACGTATCCACTTACAGATTCTACAAAAAGACAGTTTCAAAACTGCTCCATCAAAAGGAGGGTTCAACTGTGTGACTTGAATGCAATCATCACTCAGAAGTTTCTGAGAATGCTTCTCTTTAGTTTTTACGTGAACATATACCCGTTTCGAACGAAGGCCAGCCAGTGGTCCAAATATCCACTTGCAGATTCTACAGAAAGAGTGTTTCGAACATGAACTCTCAAAGGCAGGTTCATCTCTGCGAGTTAAATGCATTCATCATGAAGAACTTTCTCAGAGTGTTTGTGTTTAGTTATGGGAAATTATTCCCGTTTCCAACGAAATCCTCAGAGAGGTCCAAATATCCACCTGCAGATTCTACCAAAAGTGTATTTGGAAACTGCTCCATCAAAAGGCATGTTCAGCTCTGTGAGTGAAACTCCATCATCACAAAGGAGATATTCTGAGAATGCTTCCGTTTGCCTTTTATATGAAGTTCCTTCCTATACGACCGTAGGCCTCAAAGCAGTCCAAATCTCCATTTGCAGATTCTACAAAAAGAGTGATTCCAATCTGCTCTATCAATAGGATTGTTCAACTCCATGAGTTGAATGCCATCCTCACAAAGTAGTTTCTGAGAATGCTTCTATCTAGTTTTTATGTGAAGATATTTCCTTTTCCACCACAGGCCTCAAAGCCCTCCAAACGTCCACTTGCAGATTCTCGAAAAAGAGTGTTTCATAGCTGCTCTTTCAAAAGGAAAGTTCAACTCTGGGAGTTGAATACAAACATCACAAAGTAGTTTCCGAGAATGCTTCTGTTTAGTTTTTATGTGAAGATGATCCCGTTTCCAGTGAAATCTTCAAAGAGGTCCACATATCCCCTTGCAGATTCCAAAGAAAGAGGGTTTCAAAACTGCTCCATCAGAAGGATTGTTCAACTCTGTGAGTTGAATGCAGTCATCGCAGAAAACTTTCTGAGAAGGCTTCTGTCTAGGTTTGATGTGAAGATATAGACGTTTCAAACGAAGGCTACAAAGTGGTCAAAATATACACTTGCAGATTCTACTACAAGGGTGTTGCAAACCTGAACTATCAAAGGAAGGTTCAACTCTGTGAGTTGAATACAAACATCACAAGGAATGTTCTGAGTTTGCTTCCGTTCAGTTATGGGAAGTTGATCCCGTTTCCAACGAAATCCTCAGAGAGGTCCAAATATCCCCTTGCAGATTCTACAAAACGTGTGTTTGGAGACTGCTCCATCATAACGAATGTTCAGCTCCCTGAGTTAAACTCCATCGTCACGAAGAATTTTCTGAGAGTGCTACCGTCTGGTTTTTATATGAAGCTCTTTCCTTCACTACCACAGGCCTCAAAGCGGTCCAAATCTCCACTTCCAGATTCTACAAAAAGAGTGTTTGCAAACTGCTCTATCAAAAGGAATGTTCAACTCTGGGAGTTGAATGCAATCATCACAGAGCAGTTTCTGAGAATGCTTCTATGTCGTTTTTAGGAGAAGATATTTCCTTTTCCAACACAGTCCTCCAAGCCCGCTAAATAGCCACTTGCACATTGTAGAAAAAGTGTGTCAAAGCTGCGCTATCAAAGGGAAAGTTCAACTCTGTGAGGTGAATGCAAACATCCCAAAGAAGTTTCTGAGAATGCTTCCGTTTAGCTTTTAGGTGAAGATTATCCCGTTTCCAACGAAACCTTCAAAGAGGTCCAAATATCCCCTTGCGGATCCCACAGAAAGAGTGTTTCGAAACTGCTGTTTCAAAAGGAATCTTCAAGTCTGTGAGTTGAATGCAATCATCACAAAGAAGTTTCTGACAATGCTTCTCTCTCGTCTTTCTGTGAAGATAAAGGAAAAGGCTTTCAGGCCTTTTCCACCACAGGCCTGAAAGCGCTCCAAATGTCCACTTGCAGATTCTGCCAAAAGAATATTTCAAAACTGCTCTATGAGAAGCAATGTTAAACTCTGTGGCTGGAACACAAACATCACAAAGCGGTTTCTGAGAATGTTTCAGTTTAGTTTTTCTGTGGAAATATTCCCGTTTCCAAAGAAATCTTCAAAGAGGTCCACGTATCCACTTACAGATTCTACAAAAAGACAGTTTCAAAACTGCTCCATCAAAAGGAGGGTTCAACTGTGTGACTTGAATGCAATCATCACTCAGAAGTTTCTGAGAATGCTTCTCTTTAGTTTTTACGTGAACATATACCCGTTTCGAACGAAGGCCACCCAGTGGTCCAAATATCCACTTGCAGATTATACAGAAAGAGTGTTTCGAACCTGAACTCTCAAAGGAAGGTTCATCTCTGCGAGTTAAATGCATTCATCATGAAGAACTTTCTCAGAGTGTTTGTGTTTAGTTATGGGAAATTATTCCCGTTTCCAACGAAATCCTCAGAGAGCTCCAAATATCCACCTGCAGATTCTACCAAAAGTGTATTTGGAAACTGCTCCATCAAAAGGCATGTTCAGCTCTGTCAGTGAAACTCCATCATCACAAAGAATATTCTGAGAATGCTTCCGTTTGCCTTTTATATGAAGTTCCTTCCTGTACTACCGTAGTCCTCAAAGCAGTCCAAATCTCCATTTGCAGATTCTATAAAAAGAGTGATTCCAATCTGCTCTATCAATAGGATTGTTCAACTCCATGAGTTGAATGCCATCCTCACAAAGTAGTTTCTGAGAATGCTTCTATCTGGTTTTTGTGTGAAGATATTTCCTTTTCCACCACAGGCCTCAAAGCCCTCCAAACGTCCACTTGCAGATTCTCGAAAAAGAGTGTTTCATAGCTGCTCTTTCAAAAGGAAAGTTCAACTCTGGGAGTTGAATACAAACATCACAAAGTAGTTTCCGAGAATGCTTCTGTTTAGTTTTTATGTGAAGATGATCGATCCCGTTTCCAGTGAAATCTTCAAAGAGGTCCACATATCCCCTTGCAGATTCCAAAGAAAGAGGGTTTCAAAACTGCTCCATCAGAAGGATTGTTCAACTCTGTGAGTTGAATGCAGTCATCGCAGAAAACTTTCTGAGAATGCTTCTGTCTAGGTTTGATGTGAAGATATAGACGTTTCAAACGAAGGCTACAAAGTGGTCAAAATATACACTTGCAGATTCTACTACAAGGGTGTTGCAAACCTGAACTATCAAAGGAAGGTTCAACTCTGTGAGTTGAATACAAACATCACAAAGAATGTTCTGAGTTTGCTTCCGTTCAGTTATGGGAAGTTGATCCCGTTTCCAACGAAATCCTCAGAGAGGTCCAAATATCCCCTTGCAGATTCTACAAAACGTGTGTTTGGAAACTGCTCCATCATAACGAATGTTCAGCTCCCTGAGTTAAACTCCATCGTCACAAAGAATTTTCTGAGAGTGCTACCGTCTGGTTTTTATATGAAGTTCTTTCCTTCACTACCCCAGGCCTCAAAGCGGTCCAAATCTCCACTTGCAGATTCTACAAAAAGAGTGTTTGCAAACTGCTCTATCAAAAGGAATGTTCAACTCTGGGAGTTGAATGCAATCATCACAGAGCAGTTTCTGAGAATGCTTCTATGTCGTTTTTAGGAGAAGATATTTCCTTTTCCAACACAGTCCTCCAAGCCCGCTAAATATCCACTTGCACATTGTAGAAAAAGTGTGTCAAAGCTGCGCTATCAAAGGGAAAGTTCAACTCTGTGAGGTGAATGCAAACATCCCAAAGAAGTTTCTGAGAATGCTTCCGTTTAGCTTTTAGGTGAAGATTATCCCGTTTCCAACGAAAGCTTCAAAGAGGTCCAAATATCCCCTTGCGGATCCCACAGAAAGAGTGTTTCGAAACTGCTGTTTCAAAAGGAATCTTCAACTCTGTGAGTTGAATGCAATCATCACAAAGAAGTTTCTGACAATGCTTCTCTCTCGTCTTTCTGTGAAGATAAAGGAAAAGGCTTTCAGGCCTTTTCCACCACAGGCCTGAAAGCGCTCCAAATGTCCACTTGCAGATTCTGCCAAAAGAATATTTCAAAACTGCTCTATGAAAAGCAATGTTAAACTCTGTGGCTGGAACACAAACATCACAAAGCGGTTTCTGAGAATGCTTCAGTTTAGTTTTTCTGTGGAAATATTCCCGTTTCCAAAGAAATCTTCAAAGAGGTCCACGTATCCACTTACAGATTCTACAAAAAGACAGTTTCAAAACTGCTCCATCAAAAGGAGGGTTCAACTGTGTGACTTGAATGCAATCATCACTCAGAAGTTTCTGAGAATGCTTCTCTTTAGTTTTTACGTGAACATATACCCGTTTCGAACGAAGGCCAGCCAGTGGTCCAAATATCCACTTGCAGATTCTACAGAAAGAGTGTTTCGAACATGAACTCTCAAAGGCAGGTTCATCTCTGCGAGTTAAATGCATTCATCATGAAGAACTTTCTCAGAGTGTTTGTGTTTAGTTATGGGAAATTATTCCCGTTTCCAACGAAATCCTCAGAGAGGTCCAAATATCCACCTGCAGATTCTACCAAAAGTGTATTTGGAAACTGCTCCATCAAAAGGCATGTTCAGCTCTGTGAGTGAAACTCCATCATCACAAAGAATATTCTGAGAATGCTTCCGTTTGCCTTTTATATGAAGTTCCTTCGTATACGACCGTAGGCCTCAAAGCAGTCCAAATCTCCATTTGCAGATTCTACAAAAAGAGTGATTCCAATCTGCTCTATCAATAGGATTGTTCAACTCCATGAGTTGAATGCCATCCTCACAAAGTAGTTTCTGAGAATGCTTCTATCTAGTTTTTATGTGAAGATATTTCCTTTTCCACCACAGGCCTCAAAGCCCTCCAAACGTCCACTTGCAGATTCTCGAAAAAGAGTGTTTCATAGCTGCTCTTTCAAAAGGAAAGTTCAACTCTGGGAGTTGAATACAAACATCACAAAGTAGTTTCCGAGAATGCTTCTGTTTAGTTTTTATGTGAAGATGATCCCGTTTCCAGTGAAATCTTCAAAGAGGTCCACATATCCCCTTGCAGATTCCAAAGAAAGAGGGTTTCAAAACTGCTCCATCAGAAGGATTGTTCAACTCTGTGAGTTGAATGCAGTCATCGCAGAAAACTTTCTGAGAATGCTTCTGTCTAGGTTTGATGTGAAGATATAGACGTTTCAAACGAAGGCTACAAAGTGGTCAAAATATACACTTGCAGATTCTACTACAAGGGTGTTGCAAACCTGAACTATCAAAGGAAGGTTCAACTCTGTGAGTTGAATACAAACATCACAAAGAATGTTCTGAGTTTGCTTCCGTTCAGTTATGGGAAGTTGATCCCGTTTCCAACGAAATCCTCAGAGAGGTCCAAATATCCCCTCGCAGATTCTACAAAACGTGTGTTTGGAAACTGCTCCATCATAACGAATATCCAGCTCCCTGAGTTAAACTCCATCGTCACAAAGAATTTTCTGAGAGTGCTACCGTCTGGTTTTTATATGAAGTTCTTTCCTTCACTACCACAGGCCTCAAAGCGGTCCAAATCTCCACTTGCAGATTCTACAAAAAGAGTGTTTGCAAACTGCTCTATCAAAAGGAATGTTCAACTCTGGGAGTTGAATGCAATCATCACAGAGCAGTTTCTGAGAATGCTTCTATGTCGTTTTTAGGAGAAGATATTTCCTTTTCCAACACAGTCCTCCAAGCCCGCTAAATAGCCACTTGCACATTGTAGAAAAAGTGTGTCAAAGCTGCGCTATCAAAGGGAAAGTTCAACTCTGTGAGGTGAATGCAAACATCCCAAAGAAGTTTCTGAGAATGCTTCCGTTTAGCTTTTAGGTGAAGATTATCCCGTTTCCAACGAAACCTTCAAAGAGGTCCAAATATCCCCTTGCGGATCCCACAGAAAGAGTGTTTCAAAACTGCTGTTTCAAAAGGAATCTTCAACTCTGTGAGTTGAATGCAATCATCACAAAGAAGTTTCTGACAATGCTTCTCTCTCGTCTTTCTGTGAAGATAAAGGAAAAGGCTTTCAGGCCTTTTCCACCACAGGCCTGAAAGCGCTCCAAATGTCCACTTGCAGATTCTGCGAAAAGAATATTTCAAAACTGCTCTATGAAAAGCAATGTTAAACTCTGCGGCTCGAACACAAACATCACAAAGCGGTTTCTGAGAATGCTTCAGTTTAGTTTTTCTGTGGAAATATTCCCGTTTCCAAAGAAATCTTCAAAGAGGTCCACGCATCCACTTACAGATTCTACAAAAAGACAGTTTCAAAACTGCTCCATCAAAAGGAGGGTTCAACCGTGTGACTTGAATGCAATCATCACTCAGAAGTTTCTGAGAATGCTTCTCTTTAGTTTTTACGTGAACATATACCCGTTTCGAACGAAGGCCACCCAGTGGTCCAAATATCCACTTGCAGATTATACAGAAAGAGTGTTTCGAACCTGAACTCTCAAAGGCAGGTTCATCTCTGCGAGTTAAATGCATTCATCATGAAGAACTTTCTCAGAGTGTTTGTGTTTAGTTATGGGAAATTATTCCCGTTTCCAACGAAATCCTCAGAGAGCTCCAAATATCCACCTGCAGATTCTACCAAAAGTGTATTTGGAAACTGCTCCATCAAAAGGCATGTTCAGCTCTGTGAGTGAAACTCCATCATCACAAAGAATATTCTGAGAATGCTTCCGTTTGCCTTTTATCTGAAGTTCCTTCCTATACGACCGTAGGCCTCAAAGCAGTCCAAATCTCCATTTGCAGATTCTACAAAAAGAGTGATTCCAATCTGCTCTATCAATAGGATTGTTCAACTCCATGAGTTGAATGCCATCCTCACAAAGTCGTTTCTGAGAATGCTTCTATCTAGTTTTTATGTGAAGATATTAACTTTTCCACCACAGGCCTCAAAGCCCTCCAAACGTCCACTTGCAGATTCTCGAAAAGGAGTGTTTCATAGCTGCTCTTTCAAAAGGAAAGTTCAACTCTGGGAGTTGAATACAAACATCACAAAGTAGTTTCCGAGAATGCTTCTGTTTAGTTTTTATGTGAAGATGATCCCGTTTCCAGTGAAATCTTCAAAGAGGTCCACATATCCCCTTGCAGATTCCAAAGAAAGAGGGTTTCAAAACTGCTCCATCAGAAGGATTGTTCAACTCTGTGAGTTGAATGCAGTCATCGCAGAAAACTTTCTGAGAATGCTTCTGTCTAGGTTTGATGTGAAGATATAGACGTTTCAAACGAAGGGCTACAAAGTGGTCAAAATATACACTTGCAGATTCTACTACAAGGGTGTTGCAAACCTGAACTATCAATGGAAGGTTCAACTCTGTGAGTTGAATACAAACATCACAAAGAATGTTCTGAGTTTGCTTCCGTTCAGTTATGGGAAGTTGATCCCGTTTCCAACGAAATCCTCAGAGAGGTCCAAATATCCCCTTGCAGATTCTACAAAACGTGTGTTTGGAAACTGCTCCATCATAACGAATGTTCAGCTCCCTGAGTTAAACTCCATCGTCACAAAGAATTTTCTGAGAGTGCTACCGTCTGGTTTTTATATGAAGTTCTTTCCTTCACTACCACAGGCCTCAAAGCGGTCCAAATCTCCACTTGCAGATTCTACAAAAAGAGTGTTTGCAAACTGCTCTATCAAAAGGAATGTTCAACTCTGGGAGTTGAATGCAATCATCACAGAGCAGTTTCTGAGAATGCTTCTATGTCGTTTTTAGGAGAAGATATTTCCTTTTCCAACACAGTCCTCCAAGCCCGCTAAATAGCCACTTGCACATTGTAGAAAAAGTGTGTCAAAGCTGCGCTATCAAAGGGAAAGTTCAACTCTGTGAGGTGAATGCAAACATCCCAAAGAAGTTTCTGAGAATGCTTCCGTTTAGCTTTTAGGTGAAGATTATCCCGTTTCCAACGAAACCTTCAAAGAGGTCCAAATATCCCCTTGCGGATCCCACAGAAAGAGTGTTTCGAAACTGCTGTTTCAAAAGGAATCTTCAACTCTGTGAGTTGAATGCAATCATCACAAAGAAGTTTCTGACAATGCTCTCTCTCGTCTTTCTGTGAAGATAAAGGAAAAGGCTTTCAGGCCTTTTCCACCACAGGCCTGAAAGCGCTCCAAATGTCCACTTGCAGATTCTGCCAAAAGAATATTTCAAAACTGCTCTATGAAAAGCAATGTTAAACTCTGCGGCTCGAACACAAACATCACAAAGCAGTTTCTGAGAATGCTTTCAGTTTAGTTTTTCTGTGGAAATATTCCCGTTTCCAAAGAAATCTTCAAAGAGGTCCACGTATCCACTTACAGATTCTACAAAAAGACAGTTTCAAAACTGCTCCATCAAAAGGAGGGTTCAACTGTGTGACTTGAATGCAATCATCACTCAGAAGTTTCTGAGAATGCTTCTCTTTAGTTTTTACGTGAACATATACCCGTTTCGAACGAAGGCCACCCAGTGGTCCAAATATCCACTTGCAGATTCTACAGAAAGAGTGTTTCGAACCTGAACTGTCAAAGACAGGTTCATCTCTGCGAGTTAAATGCATTCATCATGAAGAACTTTCTCAGAGTGTTTGTGTTTAGTTATGGGAAATTATTCCCGTTTCCAACGAAATCCTCAGAGAGCTCCAAATATCCACCTGCAGATTCTACCAAAAGTGTATTTGGAAACTGCTCCATCAAAAGGCATGTTCAGCTCTGTGAGTGAAACTCCATCATCACAAAGAATATTCTGAGAATGCTTCCGTTTGCCTTTTATATGAAGTTCCTTCCTATACTACCGTAGGCCTCAAAGCAGTCCAAATCTCCATTTGCAGATTCTACAAAAAGAGTGATTCCAATCTGCTCTATCAATAGGATTGTTCAACTCCATGAGTTGAATGCCATCCTCACAATGTCGTTTCTGAGAATGCTTCTATCTAGTTTTTATGTGAAGATATTTCCTTTTCCACCACAGGCCTCAAAGCCCTCCAAACGTCCACTTGCAGATTCTCGAAAAAGAGTGTTTCATAGCTGCTCTTTCAAAAGGAAAGTTCAACTCTGGGAGTTGAATACAAACATCACAAAGTAGTTTCCGAGAATGCTTCTGTTTAGTTTTTATGTGAAGATGATCCCGTTTCCAGTGAAATCTTCAAAGAGGTCCACATATCCCCTTGCAGATTCCAAAGAAAGAGGGTTTCAAAACTGCTCCATCAGAAGGATTGTTCAACTCTGTGAGTTGAATGCAGTCATCGCAGAAAACTTTCTGAGAATGCTTCTGTCTAGGTTTGATGTGAAGATATAGACGTTTCAAACGAAAGCTACAAAGTGGTCAAAATATACACTTGCAGATTCTACTACAAGGGTGTTGCAAACCTGAACTATCAAAGGAAGGTTCAACTCTGTGAGTTGAATACAAACATCACAAAGAATGTTCTGAGTTTGCTTCCGTTCAGTTATGGGAAGTTGATCCCGTTTCCAACGAAATCCTCAGAGAGGTCCAAATATCCCCTCGCAGATTCTACAAAACGTGTGTTTGGAAACTGCTCCATCATAACGAATGTTCAGCTCCCTGAGTTAAACTCCATCGTCACAAAGAATTTTCTGAGAGTGCTACCGTCTGGTTTTTATATGAAGTTCTTTCCTTCACTACCACAGGCCTCAAAGCGGTCCAAATCTCCACTTGCAGATTCTACAAAAAGAGTGTTTGCAAACTGCTCTATCAAAAGGAATGTTCAACTCTGGGAGTTGAATGCAATCATCACAGAGCAGTTTCTGAGAATGCTTCTATGTCGTTTTTAGGAGAAGATATTTCCTTTTCCAACACAGTCCTCCAAGCCCGCTAAATAGCCACTTGCACATTGTAGAAAAAGTGTGTCAAAGCTGCGCTATCAAAGGGAAAGTTCAACTCTGTGAGGTGAATGCAAACATCCCAAAGAAGTTTCTGAGAATGCTTCCGTTGAGCTTTTAGGTGAAGATTATCCCGTTTCCAACGAAACCTTCAAAGAGGTCCAAATATCCCCTTGCGGATCCCACAGAAAGAGTGTTTCGAAACTGCTGTTTCAAAAGGAATCTTCAACTCTGTGAGTTGAATGCAATCATCACAAAGAAGTTTCTGACAATGCTTCTCTCTCGTCTTTCTGTGAAGATAAAGGAAAAGGCTTTCAGGCCTTTTCCACCACAGGCCTGAAAGCGCTCCAAATGTCCACTTGCAGATTCTGCCAAAAGAATATTTCAAAACTGCTCTATGAAAAGCAATGTTAAACTCTGTGGCTCGAACACAAACATCACAAAGCGGTTTCTGAGAATGCTTCAGTTTAGTTTTTCTGTGGAAATATTCCCGTTTCCAAAGAAATCTTCAAAGAGGTCCACGTATCCACTTACAGATTCTACAAAAAGACAGTTTCAAAACTGCTCCATCAAAAGGAGGGTTCAACTGTGTGACTTGAATGCAATCATCACTCAGAAGTTTCTGAGAATGCTTCTCTTTAGTTTTTACGTGAACATATACCCGTTTCGAACGAAGGCCAGCCAGTGGTCCAAATATCCACTTGCAGATTCTACAGAAAGAGTGTTTCGAACATGAACTCTCAAAGGCAGGTTCATCTCTGCGAGTTAAATGCATTCATCATGAAGAACTTTCTCAGAGTGTTTGTATTTAGTTATGGGAAATTATTCCCGTTTCCAACGAAATCCTCAGAGAGGTCCAAATATCCACCTGCAGATTCTACCAAAAGTGTATTTGGAAACTGCTCCATCAAAAGGCATTTTCAGCTCTGTGAGTGAAACTCCATCATCACAAAGAATATTCTGAGAATGCTTCCGTTTGCCCTTTATATGAAGTTCCTTCCTATACTACCGTAGGCCTCAAAGCAGTCCAAATCTCCATTTGCAGATTCTACAAAAAGAGTGATTCCAATCTGCTCTATCAATAGGATTGTTCAACTCCATGAGTTGAATGCCACCCTCACAAAGTCGTTTCTGAGAATGCTTCTATCTAGTTTTTATGTGAAGATATTTCCTTTTCCACCACAGGCCTCAAAGCCCTCCAAACGTCCACTTGCAGATTCTCGAAAAAGAGTGTTTCATAGCTGCTCTTTCACAAGGAAAGTTCAACTCTGGGAGTTGAATACAAACTTCACAAAGTAGTTTCCGAGAATGCTTCTGTTTAGTTCTTATGTGAAGATGATCCCGTTTCCAGTGAAATCTTCAAAGAGGTCCACATATCCCCTTGCAGATTCCAAAGAAAGAGGGTTTCTAAACTGCTCCATCAAAAGGATTGTTCAACTCTGTGAGTTGAATGCAGTCATCGCAGAAAACTTTCTGAGAATGCTTCTGTCTAGGTTTGATGTGAAGATATAGACGTTTCAAACGAAGGCTACAAAGTGGTCAAAATATACACTTACAGATTCTACTACAAGGGTGATGCAAACTTGAACTATCAAAGGAAGGTTCAACTCTGTGAGTTGAATACAAACATCACAAAGAATGTTCTGAGTTTGCTTCCGTTCAGTTATGGGAAGTTGATCCCGTTTCCAACGAAATCCTCAGAGAGGTCCAAATATCCCCTTGCAGATTCTACAAAACGTGTGTTTGGAAACTGCTCCATCATAACGAATGTTCAGCTCTCTGAGTTAAACTCCATCGTCACAAAGAATTTTCTGAGGGTGCTACCGTCTAGTTTTTATATGAAGTTCTTTCCTTTACTACCACAGGCCTCAAAGCGGTCCAAATCTCCACTTGCAGATTCTACAAAAAGAGTGTTTGCAAACTGCTCTATCAAAAGGAATGTTCAACTCTGGGAGTTGAATGCAATCATCACAGAGCAGTTTCTGAGAATGCTTCTATGTCGTTTTTAGGAGAAGATATTTCCTTTTCCAACACAGTCCTCCAAGCCCGCTAAATATCCACTTGCACATTATAGAAAAAGTGTGTCGAAGCTGCGCTATCAAAGGGAAAGTTCAACTCTGTGAGGTGAATGCAAACATCCCAAAGAAGTTTCTGAGAATGCTTCCGTTTAGCTTTCAGGTGAAGATTATCCCGTTTCCAACGAAATCTTCAAAGAGGTCCAAATATCCCCTTGCGGATCCCACAGAAAGAGTGTTTCGAAACTGCTGTTTCAAAAGGAATCTTCAACTCTGTGAGTTGAATGCAATCATCACAAAGAAGTTTCTGACAATGCTTCTCTCTCGTCTTTCTGTGAAGATAAAGGAAAAGGCTTTCAGGCCTTTTCCACCACAGGCCTGAAAGCGCTCCAAATGTCCACTTGCAGATTCTGCCAAAAGAATATTTCAAAACTGCTCTATGAAAAGCAATGTTAAACTCTGTGGCTCGAACACCAACATCACAAAGCAGTTTCTGAGAATGCTTCAGTTTAGTTTTTCTGTGGAAATATTCCCGTTTCCAAGGAAATCTTCCAAGAGGTCCACGTATCCACTTACAGATTCTACAAAAAGACAGTTTCAAAACTGCTCAATCAAAAGGCGGGTTCAACTGTGTGACTTGAATGCAATCATCACTCAGAAGTTTCTGAGAATGCTTCTCTTTAGTTTTTACGTGAACATATACCCGTTTCGAACGAAGGCCAGCCAGTGGTCCAAATATCCACTTGCAGATTCTACAGAAAGAGTGTTTCGAACCTGAACTCTCAAAGGCAGGTTCATCTCTGCGAGTTAAATGCATTCATCATGAAGAACTTTCTCAGAGTGTTTGTGTTTAGTTATGGGAAATTATTCCCGTTTCCAAGGAAATCCTCAGAGAGCTCCAAATATCCACCTGCAGATTCTACCAAAAGTGTATTTGGAAACTGCTCCATCAACAGGAATGTTCAGCTACTGTGAGTGAAACTCCATCATCACAAAGAATATTCTGAGAATGCTTCCGTTTGCCTTTTATATGAAGTTCCTTCCTATACGACCGTAGGCCTCAAAGCAGTCCAAATCTCCATTTGCAGATTCTACAAAAAGAGTGATTCCAATCTGCTCTATCAATAGGATTGTTCAACTCCATGAGTTGAATGCCATCCTCACAAAGTCGTTTCTAAGAATGCTTCTATCTAGTTTTTATGTGAAGATATTTCCTTTTCCACCACAGGCCTCAAAGCCCTCCAAACGGCCACTTGCAGATTCTCGAAAAAGAGTGTTTCATAGCTGCTCTTTCAAAAGGAAAGTTCAACTCTGGGAGTTGAATACAAACATCACAAAGTAGTTTCCGAGAATGCTTCTGTTTAGTTTTTATGTGAAGATGATCCCGTTTCCAGTGAAATCTTCAAAGAGGTCCACATATCCCCTTGCAGATTCCAAAGAAAGAGGGTTTCAAAACTGCTCCATCAGAAGGATTGTTCAACTCTGTGAGTTGAATGCAGTCATCGCAGAAAACTTTCTGAGAATGCTTCTGTCTAGGTTTGATGTGAAGATATAGACGTTTCAAACGAAGGCTACAAAGTGGTCAAAATATACACTTGCAGATTCTACTACAAGGGTGTTGCAAACCTGAACTATCAAAGGAAGGTTCAACTCTGAGTTGAATACAAACATCACAAAGAATGTTCTGAGTTTGCTTCCGTTCAGTTATGGGAAGTTGATCCCGTTTCCAACGAAATCCTCAGAGAGGTCCAAATATCCCCTTGCAGATTCTACAAAACGTGTGTTTGGAAACTGCTCCATCATAACGAATGTTCAGCTCCCTGAGTTAAACTCCATCGTCACAAAGAATTTTCTGAGAGTGCTACCGTCTGGTTTTTATATGAAGCTCTTTCCTTCACTACCACAGGCCTCAAAGCGGTCCAAATCTCCACTTGCAGATTCTACAAAAAGAGTGTTTGCAAACTGCTCTATCAAAAGGAATGTTCAACTCTGGGAGTTGAATGCAATCATCACAGAGCAGTTTCTGAGAATGCTTCTATGTCGTTTTTAGGAGAAGATATTTCCTTTTCCAACACAGTCCTCCAAGCCCGCTAAATAGCCACTTGCACATTGTAGAAAAAGTGTGTCAAAGCTGCGCTATCAAAGGGAAAGTTCAACTGTGTGAGGTGAATGCAAACATCCCAAAGAAGTTTCTGAGAATGCTTCCGTTTAGCTTTTAGGTGAAGATTATCCCGTTTCCAACGAAACCTTCAAAGAGGTCCAAATATCCCCTTGCGGATCCCACAGAAAGAGTGTTTCGAAACTGCTGTTTCAAAAGGAATCTTCAACTCTGTGAGTTGAATGCAATCATCCCAAAGAAGTTTCTGACAATGCTTCTCTCTCGTCTTTCTGTGAAGATAAAGGAAAAGGCTTTCAGGCCTTTTCCACCACAGGCCTGAAAGCGCTCCAAATGTCCACTTGCAGATTCTGCCAAAAGAATATTTCAAAACTGCTCTATGAAAAGCAATGTTAAACTCTGTGGCTCGAACACAAACATCACAAAGCAGTTTCTGAGAATGCTTCAGTTTAGTTTTTCTGTGGAAATATTCCCGTTTCCAAAGAAATCTTCAAAGAGGTCCACGTATCCACTTACAGATTCTACAAAAAGACAGTTTCAAAACTGCTCCATCAAAAGGAGGGTTCAACTGTGTGACTTGAATGCAATCATCACTCAGAAGTTTCTGAGAATGCTTCTCTTTAGTTTTTACGTGAACATATACCCGTTTCGAACGAAGGCCAGCCAGTGGTCCAAATATCCACTTGCAGATTCTACAGAAAGAGTGTTTCGAACATGAACTCTCAAAGGCAGGTTCATCTCTGCGAGTTAAATGCATTCATCATGAAGAACTTTCTCAGAGTGTTTGTGTTTAGTTATGGGAAATTATTCCCGTTTCCAACGAAAGCCTCAGAGAGCTCCAAATATCCACCTGCAGATTCTACCAAAAGTGTATTTGGAAACTGCTCCATCAAAAGGCATGTTCAGCTCTGTGAGTGAAACTCCATCATCACAAAGAATATTCTGAGAATGCTTCCGTTTGCCTTTTATATGAACTTCCTTCCTGTACTACCGTAGGCCTCAAAGCAGTCCAAATCTCCATTTGCAGATTCTACAAAAAGAGTGATTCCAATCTGCTCTATCAATAGGATTGTTCAACTCCATGAGTTGAATGCCATCCTCACAATGTCGTTTCTGAGAATGCTTCTATCTAGTTTTTATGTGAAGATATTTCCTTTTCCACCACAGGCCTCAAAGCCCTCCAAACGTCCACTTTCAGATTCTCGAAAAAGAGTGTTTCATAGCTGCTCTTTCAAAAGGAAAGTTCAACTCTGGGAGTTGAATACAAACATCACAAAGTAGTTTCCGAGAATGCTTCTGTTTAGTTTTTATGTGAAGATGATCCCGTTTCCAGTGAAATCTTCAAAGAGGTCCACATATCGCCTTGCAGATTCCAAAGAAAGAGGGTTTCAAAACTGCTCCATCAGAAGGATTGTTCAACTCTGTGAGTTGAATGCAGTCATCGCAGAAAACTTTCTGAGAATGCTTCTGTCTAGGTTTGATGTGAAGATATAGACGTTTCAAACGAAGGCTACAAAGTGGTCAAAATATACACTTGCAGATTCTACTACAAGGGTGTTGCAAACCTGAACTATCAAAGGAAGGTTCAACTCTGTGAGTTGAATACAAACATCACAAAGAATGTTCTGAGTTTGCTTCCGTCCAGTTATGGGAAGTTGATCCCGTTTCCAACGAAATCCTCAGAGAGGTCCAAATATCCCCTTGCAGATTCTACAAAACGTGTGTTGGGAAACTGCTCCATCATAACGAATGTTCAGCTCCCTGAGTTAAACTCCATCGTCACAAAGAATTTTCTGAGAGTGCTACCGTCTGGTTTTTATATGAAGTTCTTTCCTTCACTACCACAGGCCTCAAAGCGGTCCAAATCTCCACTTGCAGATTCTACAAAAAGAGTGTTTGCAAACTGCTCTATCAAAAGGAATGTTCAACTCTGGGAGTTGAATGCAATCATCACAGAGCAGTTTCTGAGAATGCTTCTATGTCGTTTTTAGGAGAAGATATTTCCTTTTCCAACACAGTCCTCCAAGCCCGCTAAATAGCCACTTGCACATTGTAGAAAAAGTGTGTCAAAGCTGCGCTATCAAAGGGAAAGTTCAACTCTGTGAGGTGAATGCAAACATCCCAAAGAAGTTTCTGAGAATGCTTCCGTTTAGCTTTTAGGTGAAGATTATCCCGTTTCCAACGAAACCTTCAAAGAGGTCCAAATATCCCCTTGCGGATCCCACAGAAAGAGTGTTTCGAAACTGCTGTTTCAAAAGGAATCTTCAACTCTGTGAGTTGAATGCAATCATCACAAAGAAGTTTCTGACAATGCTTCTCTCTCGTCTTTCTGTGAAGATAAAGGAAAAGGCTTTCAGGCCTTTTCCACCACAGGCCTGAAAGCGCTCCAAATGTCCACTTGCAGATTCTGCGAAAAGAATATTTCAAAACTGCTCTATGAAAAGCAATGTTAAACTCTGTGGCTGGAACACAAACATCACAAAGCGGTTTCTGAGAATGTTTCAGTTTAGTTTTTCTGTGGAAATATTCCCGTTTCCAAAGAAATCTTCAAAGAGGTCCACGTATCCACTTACAGATTCTACAAAAAGACAGTTTCAAAACTGCTCCATCAAAAGGAGGGTTCAACTGTGTGACTTGAATGCAATCATCACTCAGAAGTTTCTGAGAATGCTTCTCTTTAGTTTTTACGTGAACATATACCCGTTTCGAACGAAGGCCACCCAGTGGTCCAAATATCCACTTGCAGATTATACAGAAAGAGTGTTTCGAACCTGAACTCTCAAAGGCAGGTTCATCTCTGCGAGTTAAATGCATTCATCATGAAGAACTTTCTCAGAGTGTTTGTGTTTAGTTATGGGAAATTATTCCCGTTTCCAACGAAATCCTCTGAGAGCTCCAAATATCCACCTGCAGATTCTACCAAAAGTGTATTTGGAAACTGCTCCATCAAAAGGCATGTTCAGCTCTGTGAGTGAAACTCCATCATCACAAAGAATATTCTGAGAATGCTTCCGTTTGCCTTTTATATGAAGTTCCTTCCTGTACTACCGTAGGCCTCAAAGCAGTCCAAATCTCCATTTGCAGATTCTATAAAAAGAGTGATTCCAATCTGCTCTATCAATAGGATTGTTCAACTCCATGATTTGAATGCCATCCTCACAAAGCAGTTTCTGAGAATGCTTCTATCTGGTTTTTGTGTGAAGATATTTCCTTTTCCACCACAGGCCTCAAAGCCCTCCAAACGTCCACTTGCAGATTCTCGAAAAAGAGTGTTTCATAGCTGCTCTTTCAAAAGGAAAGTTCAACTCTGGGAGTTGAATGCAAACATCACAAAATAGTTTCCGAGAATGCTTCTGTTTAGTTTTTATGTGAAGATGATCCCGTTTCCAGTGAAATCTTCAAAGAGGTCCACATATCCCCTTGCAGATTCCAAAGAAAGAGGGTTTCAAAACTGCTCCATCAGAAGGATTGTTCAACTCTGTGAGTTGAATGCAGTCATCGCAGAAAACTTTGCTGAGAATGCTTCTGTCTAGGTTTGATGTGAAGATATAGATATTTCAAACGAAGGCTACAAAGTGGTCAAAATATACACTTGCAGATTCTACTACAAGGGTGTTGCAAACCTGAACTATCAAAGGAAGGTTCAACTCTGTGAGTTGAATACAAACATCACAAAGAATGTTCTGAGTTTGCTTCCGTTCAGTTATGGGAAGTTGATCCCGTTTCCAACGAAATCCTCAGAGAGGTCCAAATATCCCCTTGCAGATTCTACAAAACGTGTGTTTGGAAACTGCTCCATCATAACGAATGTTCAGCTCCCTGAGTTAAACTCCATCGTCACAAAGAATTTTCTGAGAGTGCTACCGTCTGGTTTTTATATGAAGTTCTTTCCTTCACTACCACAGGCCTCAAAGCGGTCCAAATCTCCACTTGCAGATTCTACAAAAAGAGTGTTTGCAAACTGCTCTATCAAAAGGAATGTTCAACTCTGGGAGTTGAATGCAATCATCACAGAGCAGTTTCTGAGAATGCTTCTATGTCGTTTTTAGGAGAAGATATTTCCTTTTCCAACACAGTCCTCCAAGCCCGCTAAATAGCCACTTGCACATTGTAGAAAAAGTGTGTCAAAGCTGCGCTATCAAAGGGAAAGTTCAACTCTGTGAGGTGAATGCAAACATCCCAAAGAAGTTTCTGAGAATGTTTCCGTTTAGCTTTTAGGTGAAGATTATCCCGTTTCCAACGAAACCTTCAAAGAGGTCCAAATATCCCCTTGCGGATCCCACAGAAAGAGTGTTTCGAAACTGCTGTTTCAAAAGGAATCTTCAACTCTGTGAGTTGAATGCAATCATCACAAAGAAGTTTCTGACAATGCTTCTCTCTCGTCTTTCTGTGAAGATAAAGGAAAAGGCTTTCAGGCCTTTTCCCAACCACAGGCCTGAAAGCGCTCCAAATGTCCACTTGCAGATTCTGCCAAAAGAATATTTCAAAACTGCTCTATGAAAAGCAATGTTAAACTCTGTGGCTCGAACACAAACATCACAAAGCAGTTTCTGAGAATGCTTCAGTTTAGTTTTTCTGTGGAAATATTCCCGTTTCCAAAGAAATCTTCAAAGAGGTCCACGTATCCACTTACAGATTCTACAAAAAGACAGTTTCAAAACTGCTCCATCAAAAGGAGGGTTCAACTGTGTGACTTGAATGCAATCATCACTCAGAAGTTTCTGAGAATGCTTCTCTTTAGTTTTTACGTGAACATATACCCGTTTCGAACGAAGGCCAGCCAGTGGTCCAAATATCCACTTGCAGATTCTACAGAAAGAGTGTTTCGAACCTGAACTCTCAAAGGCAGGTTCATCTCTGCGAGTTAAATGCATTCATCATGAAGAACTTTCTCAGAGTGTTTGTGTTTAGTTATGGGAAATTATTCCCGTTTCCAAAGAAATCCTCAGAGAGCTCCAAATATCCACCTGCAGATTCTACAAAAAGTGTATTTGGAAACTGCTCCATCAAAAGGCATGTTCAGCTCTGTGAGTGAAACTCCATCATCACAAAGAATATTCTGAGAATGCTTCCGTTTGCCTTTTATATGAAGTTCCTTCCTATACGACCGTAGGCCTCAAAGCAGTCCAAATCTCCATTTGCAGATTCTACAAAAAGAGTGATTCCAATCTGCTCTATCAATAGGATTGTTCAACTCCATGAGTTGAATGCCATCCTCACAAAGTCGTTTCTGAGAATGCTTCTATCTAGTTTTTATGTGAAGATATTTCCTTTTCCACCACAGGCCTCAAAGCCCTCCAAACGTCCACTTGCAGATTCTCGAAAAAGAGTGTTTCATAGCTGCTCTTTCAAAAGGAAAGTTCAACTCTGGGAGTTGAATACAAACATCACAAAGTAGTTTCCGAGAATGCTTCTGTTTAGTTTTTATGTGAAGATGATCCCGTTTCCAGTGAAATCTTCAAAGAGGTCCACATATCCCCTTGCAGATTCCAAAGAAAGAGGGTTTCAAAACTGCTCCATCAGAAGGATTGTTCAACTCTGTGAGTTGAATGCAGTCATCGCAGAAAACTTTCTGAGAATGCTTCTGTCTAGGTTTGATGTGAAGATATAGACGTTTCAAACGAAGGCTACAAAGTGGTCAAAATATACACTTGCAGATTCTACTACAAGGGTGTTGCAAACCTGAACTATCAAAGGAAGGTTCAACTCTGTGAGTTGAATACAAACATCACAAAGAATGTTCTGAGTTTGCTTCCGTTCAGTTATGGGAAGTTGATCCCGTTTCCAACGAAATCCTCAGAGAGGTCCAAATATCCCCTTGCAGATTCTACAAAACGTGTGTTTGGAAACTGCTCCATCATAACGAATGTTCAGCTCCCTGAGTTAAACTCCATCGTCACAAAGAATTTTCTGAGAGTGCTACCGTCTGGTTTTTATATGAAGTTCTTTCCTTCACTACCACAGGCCTCAAAGCGGTCCAAATCTCCACTTGCAGATTCTACAAAAAGAGTGTTTGCAAACTGCTCTATCAAAAGGAATGTTCAACTCTGGGAGTTGAATGCAATCATCACAGAGCAGTTTCTGAGAATGCTTCTATGTCGTTTTTAGGAGAAGATATTTCCTTTTCCAACACAGTCCTCCAAGCCCGCTAAATAGCCACTTGCACATTGTAGAAAAAGTGTGTCAAAGCTGCGCTATCAAAGGGAAAGTTCAACTCTGTCAGGTGAATGCAAACATCCCAAAGAAGTTTCTGAGAATGCTTCCGTTTAGCTTTTAGGTGAAGATTATCCCGTTTCCAACGAAACCTTCAAAGAGGTCCAAATATCCCCTTGCGGATCCCACAGAAAGAGTGTTTCGAAACTGCTGTTTCAAAAGGAATCTTCAACTCTGTGAGTTGAATGCAATCATCACAAAGAAGTTTCTGACAATGCTTCTCTCTCGTCTTTCTGTGAAGATAAAGGAAAAGGCTTTCAGGCCTTTTCCACCACAGGCCTGAAAGCGCTCCAAATGTCCACTTGCAGATTCTGCCAAAAGAATATTTCAAAACTGCTCTATGAAAAGCAATGTTAAACTCTGTGGCTCGAACACAAACATCACAAAGCAGTTTCTGAGAATGCTTCAGTTTAGTTTTTCTGTGGAAATATTCCCGTTTCCAAAGAAATCTTCAAAGAGGTCCACGTATCCACTTACAGATTCTACAAAAAGACAGTTTCAAAACTGCTCCATCAAAAGGAGGGTTCAACTGTGTGACTTGAATGCAATCATCACTCAGAAGTTTCTGAGAATGCTTCTCTTTAGTTTTTACGTGAACATATACCCGTTTCGAACGAAGGCCAGCCAGTGGTCCAAATATCCACTTGCAGATTCTACAGAAAGAGTGTTTCGAACCTGAACTCTCAAAGGCAGGTTCATCTCTGCAAGTTAAATACATTCATCATGAAGAACTTTCTCAGAGTGTTTTTGTGTTTAGTTATGGGAAATTATTAACGTTTCCAACGAAATCCTCAGAGAGCTCCAAATATCCACCTGCAGATTCTACCAAAAGTGTATTTGGAAACTGCTCCATCAAAAGGCATGTTCAGCTCTGTGAGTGAAACTCCATCATCACAAAGAATATTCTGAGAATGCTTCCGTTTGCCTTTTATCTGAAGTTCCTTCCTATACGACCGTAGGCCTCAAAGCAGTCCAAATCTCCATTTGCAGATTCTACAAAAAGAGTGATTCCAATCTGCTCTATCAATAGGATTGTTCAACTCCATGAGTTGAATGCCATCCTCACAAAGTCGTTTCTGAGAATGCTTCTATCTAGTTTTTATGTGAAGATATTTCCTTTTCCACCACAGGCCTCAAAGCCCTCCAAACGTCCACTTGCAGATTCTCGAAAAAGAGAGTTTCATAGCTGCTCTTTCAAAAGGAAAGTTCAACTCTGGGAGTTGAATACAAACATCACAAAGTAGTTTCCGAGAATGCTTCTGTTTAGTTTTTATGTGAAGATGATCCCGTTTCCAGTGAAATCTTCAAAGAGGTCCACATATCCCCTTGCAGATTCCAAAGAAAGAGGGTTTCAAAACTGCTCCATCAGAAGGATTGTTCAACTCTGTGAGTTGAATGCAGTCATCGCAGAAAACTTTCTGAGAATGCTTCTGTCTAGGTTTGATGTGAAGATATAGACGTTTCAAACGAAGGCTACAAAGTGGTCAAAATATACACTTGCAGATTCTACTACAAGGGTGTTGCAAACCTGAACTATCAAAGGAAGGTTCAACTCTGTGAGTTGAATACAAACATCACAAAGAATGTTCTGAGTTTGCTTCCGTTCAGTTATGGGAAGTTGATCCCGTTTCCAACGAAATCCTCAGAGAGGTCCAAATATCCCCTTGCAGATTCTACAAAACGTGTGTTTGGAAACTGCTCCATCATAACGAATGTTCAGCTCCCTGAGTTAAACTCCATCGTCACAAAGAATTTTCTGAGAGTGCTACCGTCTGGTTTTTATATGAAGTTCTTTCCTTCACTACCACAGGCCTCAAAGCGGTCCAAATCTCCACTTGCAGATTCTACAAAAAGAGTGTTTGCAAACTGTTCTATCAAAAGGAATGTTCAACTCTGGGAGTTGAATGCAATCATCACAGAGCAGTTTCTGAGAATGCTTCTATGTCGTTTTTAGGAGAAGATATTTCCTTTTCCAACACAGTCCTCCAAGTCCGCTAAATAGCCACTTGCACATTGTAGAAAAAGTGTGTCAAAGCTGCGCTATCAAAGGGAAAGTTCAACTCTGTGAGGTGAATGCAAACATCCCAAAGAAGTTTCTGAGAATGCTTCCGTTTAGCTTTTAGGTGAAGATTATCCCGTTTCCAACGAAACCTTCAAAGAGGTCCAAATATCCCCTTGCGGATCCCACAGAAAGAGTGTTTCGAAACTGCTGTTTCAAAAGGAATCTTCAACTCTGTGAGTTGAATGCAATCATCACAAAGAAGTTTCTGACAATGCTTCTCTCTCGTCTTTCTGTGAAGATAAAGGAAAAGGCTTTCAGGCCTTTGCCACCACAGGCCTGAAAGCGCTCCAAATGTCCACTTGCAGATTCTGCGAAAAGAATATTTCAAAACTGCTCTATGAAAAGCAATGTTAAACTCTGTGGCTCGAACACAAACATCACAAAGCAGTTTCTGAGAATGCTTCAGTTTAGTTTTTCTGTGGAAATATTCCCGTTTCCAAAGAAATCTTCAAAGAGGTCCACGCATCCACTTACAGATTCTACAAAAAGACAGTTTCAAAACTGCTCCATCAAAAGGAGGGTTCAACTGTGTGACTTGAATGCAATCATCACTCAGAAGTTTCTGAGAATGCTTCTCTTTAGTTTTTACGTGAACATATACCCGTTTCGAACGAAGGCCACCCAGTGGTCCAAATATCCACTTGCAGATTCTACAGAAAGAGTGTTTCGAACCTGAACTCTCAAAGGCAGGTTCATCTCTGCGAGTTAAATGCATTCATCATGAAGAACTTTCTCAGAGTGTTTGTGTTTAGTTATGGGAAATTATTCCCGTTTCCAACGAAATCCTCAGAGAGCTCCAAATATCCACCTGCAGATTCTACCAAAAGTGTATTTGGAAACTGCTCCATCAAAAGGCATGTTCAGCTCTGTGAGTGAAACTCCATCATCACAAAGAATATTCTGAGAATGCTTCCGTTTGCCTTTTATATGAAGTTCCTTCCTGTACTACTGTAGGCCTCAAAGCAGTCCAAATCTCCATTTGCAGATTCTACAAAAAGAGTGATTCCAATCTGCTCTATCAATAGGATTGTTCAACTCCATGAGTTGAATGCCATCCTCACAAAGTAGTTTCTGAGAATGCTTCTATCTAGTTTTTATGTGAAGATATTTCCTTTTCCACCACAGGCCTCAAAGCCCTCCAAACGTCCACTTGCAGATTCTCGAAAAAGAGTGTTTCATAGCTGCTCTTTCAAAAGGAAAGTTCAACTCTGGCAGTTGAATACAAACATCACAAAGTAGTTTCCGAGAATGCTTCTGTTTAGTTTTTATGTGAAGATGATCCCGTTTCCAGTGAAATCTTCAAAGAGGTCCACATATCCCCTTGCAGATTCCAAAGAAAGAGGGTTTCAAAACTGCTCCATCAGAAGGATTGTTCAACTCTGTGAGTTGAATGCAGTCATCGCAGAAAACTTTCTGAGAATGCTTCTGTCTAGGTTTGATGTGAAGATATAGCATGTTTCAAACGAAGGCTACAAAGTGGTCAAAATATACACTTGCAGATTCTACTACAAGGGTGTTGCAAACCTGAACTATCAAAGGAAGGTTCAACTCTGTGAGTTGAATACAAACATCACAAAGAATGTTCTGAGTTTGCTTCCGTTCAGTTATGGGAAGTTGATCCCGTTTCCAACGAAATCCTCAGAGAGGTCCAAATATCCCCTTGCAGATTCTACAAAACGTGTGTTTGGAAACTGCTCCATCATAACGAATGTTCAGCTCCCTGAGTTAAACTCCATCGTCACAAAGAATTTTCTGAGAGTGCTACCGTCTGGTTTTTATATGAAGTTCTTTCCTTCACTACCACAGGCCTCAAAGCGGTCCAAATCTCCACTTGCAGATTCTACAAAAAGAGTGTTTGCAAACTGCTCTATCAAAAGGAATGTTCAACTCTGGGAGTTGAATGCAATCATCACAGAGCAGTTTCTGAGAATGCTTCTATGTCGTTTTTAGGAGAAGATATTTCCTTTTCCAACACAGTCCTCCAAGCCCGCTAAATAGCCACTTGCACATTGTAGAAAAAGTGTGTCAAAGCTGCGCTATCAAAGGGAAAGTTCAACTCTGTGAGGTGAATGCAAACATCCCAAAGAAGTTTCTGAGAATGCTTCCGTTTAGCTTTTAGGTGAAGATTATCCCGTTTCCAACGAAACCTTCAAAGAGGTCCAAATATCCCCTTGCGGATCCCACAGAAAGAGTGTTTCGAAACTGCTGTTTCAAAAGGAATCTTCAACTCTGTGAGTTGAATGCAATCATCACAAAGAAGTTTCTGACAATGCTTCTCTCTCGTCTTTCTGTGAAGATAAAGGAAAAGGCTTTCAGGCCTTTGCCACCACAGGCCTGAAAGCGCTCCAAATGTCCACTTGCAGATTCTGCCAAAAGAATATTTCAAAACTGCTCTATGAAAAGCAATGTTAAACTCTGTGGCTCGAACACAAACATCACAAAGCGGTTTCTGAGAATGCTTCAGTTTAGTTTTTCTGTGGAAATATTCCCGTTTCCAAAGAAATCTTCAAAGAGGTCCACGTATCCACTTACAGATTCTACAAAAAGACAGTTTCAAAACTGCTCCATCAAAAGGAGGGTTCAACTGTGTGACTTGAATGCAATCATCACTCAGAAGTTTCTGAGAATGCTCTCTTTAGTTTTTAGGTGAACATATACCCGTTTCGAACGAAGGCCACCCAGTGGTCCAAATATCCACTTGCAGATTCTACAGAAAGAGTGTTTCGAACCTGAACTCTCAAAGGCAGGTTCATCTCTGCGAGTTCAATGCATTCATCATGAAGAACTTTCTCAGCGTGTTTGTGTTTAGTTATGGAAAATTATTCCCGTTTCCAACGAAATCCTCAGAGAGCTCCAAATATCCACCTGCAGATTCTACCAAAAGTGTATTTGGAAACTGCTCCATGAAAAGGCATGTTCAGCTCTGTGAGTGAAACTCCATCATCACAAAGAATATTCTGAGAATGCTTCCGTTTGCCTTTTATATGAAGTTCCTTCCTATACTACCGTAGGCCTCAAAGCAGTCCAAATCTCCATTTGCAGATTCTACAAAAAGAGTGATTCCAATCTGCTCTATCAATAGGATTGTTCAACTCCATGAGTTGAATGCCATCCTCACAAAGTCGTTTCTGAGAATGCTTCTATCTAGTTTTTATGTGAAGATATTTCCTTTTCCACCACAGGCCTCAAAGCCCTCCAAACGTCCACTTGCAGATTCTCGAAAAAGAGTGTTTCATAGCTGCTCTTTCAAAAGGAAAGTTCAACTCTGGGAGTTGAATACAAACATCACAAAGTAGTTTCCGAGAATGCTTCTGTTTAGTTTTTATGTGAAGATGATCCCGTTTCCAGTGAAATCTTCAAAGAGGTCCACATATCCCCTTGCAGATTCCAAAGAAAGAGGGTTTCAAAACTGCTCCATCAGAAGGATTGTTCAACTCTGTGAGTTGAATGCAGTCATCGCAGAAAACTTTCTGAGAATGCTTCTGTCTAGGTTTGATGTGAAGATATAGCATGTTTCAAACGAAGGCTACAAAGTGGTCAAAATATACACTTGCAGATTCTACTACAAGGGTGTTGCAAACCTGAACTATCAAAGGAAGGTTCAACTCTGTGAGTTGAATACAAACATCACAAAGAATGTTCTGAGTTTGCTTCCGTTCAGTTATGGGAAGTTGATCCCGTTTCCAACGAAATCCTCAGAGAGGTCCAAATATCCCCTTGCAGATTCTACAAAACGTGTGTTTGGAAACTGCTCCATCATAACGAATGTTCAGCTCCCTGAGTTAAACTCCATCGTCACAAAGAATTTTCTGAGAGTGCTACCGTCTGGTTTTTATATGAAGTTCTTTCCTTCACTACCACAGGCCTCAAAGCGGTCCAAATCTCCACTTGCAGATTCTACAAAAAGAGTGTTTGCAAACTGCTCTATCAAAAGGAATGTTCAACTCTGGGAGTTGAATGCAATCATCACAGAGCAGTTTCTGAGAATGCTTCTATGTCGTTTTTAGGAGAAGATATTTCCTTTTCCAACACAGTCCTCCAAGCCCGCTAAATAGCCACTTGCACATTGTAGAAAAAGTGTGTCAAAGCTGCGCTATCAAAGGGAAAGTTCAACTCTGTGAGGTGAATGCAAACATCCCAAAGAAGTTTCTGAGAATGCTTCCGTTTAGCTTTTAGGTGAGGATTATCCCGTTTCCAACGAAACCTTCAAAGAGGTCCAAATATCCCCTTGCGGATCCCACAGAAAGAGTGTTTCGAAACTGCTGTTTCAAAAGGAATCTTCAACTCTGTGAGTTGAATGCAATCATCACAAAGAAGTTTCTGACAATGCTTCTCTCTCGTCTTTCTGTGAAGATAAAGGAAAAGGCTTTCAGGCCTTTTCCACCACAGGCCTGAAAGCGCTCCAAATGTCCACTTGCAGATTCTGCGAAAAGAATATTTCAAAACTGCTCTATGAAAAGCAATGTTAAACTCTGTGGCTCGAACACAAACATCACAAAGCGGTTTCTGAGAATGCTTCAGTTTAGTTTTTCTGTGGAAATATTCCCGTTTCCAAAGAAATCTTCAAAGAGGTCCACGTATCCACTTACAGATTCTACAAAAAGACAGTTTCAAAACTGCTCCATCAAAAGGAGGGTTCAACTGTGTGACTTGAATGCAATCATCACTCAGAAGTTTCTGAGAATGCTTCTCTTTAGTTTTTACGTGAACATATACCCGTTTCGAACGAAGGCCACCCAGTGGTCCAAATATCCACTTGCAGATTATACAGAAAGAGTGTTTCGAACCTGAACTCTCAAAGGCAGGTTCATCTCTGCGAGTTAAATGCATTCATCATGAAGAACTTTCTCAGAGTGTTTGTGTTTAGTTATGGGAAATTATTCCCGTTTCCAACGAAATCCTCAGAGAGCTCCAAATATCCACCTGCAGATTCTACCAAAAGTGTATTTGGAAACTGCTCCATCAAAAGGCATGTTCAGCTCTGTGAGTGAAACTCCATCATCACAAAGAATATTCTGAGAATGCTTCCGTTTGCCTTTTATATGAAGTTCCTTCCTGTACTACCGTAGGCCTCAAAGCAGTCCAAATCTCCATTTGCAGATTCTACAAAAAGAGTGATTCCAATCTGCTCTATCAATAGGATTGTTCAACTCCATGAGTTGAATGCCATCCTCACAAAGCAGTTTCTGAGAATGCTTCTATCTGGTTTTTGTGTGAAGATATTTCCTTTTCCACCACAGGCCTCAAAGCCCTCCAAACGTCCACTTGCAGATTCTCGAAAAAGAGTGTTTCATAGCTGCTCTTTCAAAAGGAAAGTTCAACTCTGGCAGTTGAATACAAACATCACAAAGTAGTTTCAGAGAATGCTTTCTGTTTAGTTCTTATGTGAAGATGATCCCGTTTCCAGTGAAATCTTCAAAGTAGGTCCACATATCCCCTTGCAGATTCCAAAGAAAGAGGGTTTCAAAACTGCTCCATCAAAAGGATTGTTCAACTCTGTGAGTTGAATGCAGTCATCGCAGAAAACTTTCTGAGAATGCTTCTGTCTAGGTTTGATGTGAAGATATAGACGTTTCAAACGAAGGCTACACAGTGGTCAAAATATACACTTGCAGATTCTACTACAAGGGTGTTGCAAACCTGAACTATCAAAGGAAGGTTCAACTCTGTGAGTTGAATACAAACATCACAAAGAATGTTCTGAGTTTGCTTCCGTTCAGTTATGGGAAGTTGATCCCGTTTCCAACGAAATCCTCAGAGAGGTCCAAATATCCCCTTGCAGATTCTACAAAACGTGTGTTTGGAAACTGCTCCATCATAACGAATGTTCAGCTCCCTGAGTTAAACTCCATCGTCACAAAGAATTTTCTGAGAGTGCTACCGTCTGGTTTTTATATGAAGTTCTTTCCTTCACTACCACAGGCCTCAAAGCGGTCCAAATCTCCACTTGCAGATTCTACAAAAAGAGTGTTTGCAAACTGCTCTATCAAAAGGAATGTTCAACTCTGGGAGTTGAATGCAATCATCACAGAGCAGTTTCTGAGAATGCTTCTATGTCGTTTTTAGGAGAAGATATTTCCTTTTCCAACACAGTCCTCCAAGCCCGCTAAATAGCCACTTGCACATTGTAGAAAAAGTGTGTCGAAGCTGCGCTATCAAAGGGAAAGTTCAACTCTGTGAGGTGAATGCAAACATCCCAAAGAAGTTTCTGAGAATGCTTCCGTTTAGCTTTTAGGTGAAGATTATCCCGTTTCCAACGAAACCTTCAAAGAGGTCCAAATATCCCCTTGCGGATCCCACAGAAAGAGTGTTTCGAAACTGCTGTTTCAAAAGGAATCTTCAACTACTGTGAGTTGAATGCAATCATCACAAAGAAGTTTCTGACAATGCTTTCTCTCTCGTCTTTCTGTGAAGATAAAGGAAAAGGCTTTCAGGCCTTTTCCACCACAGGCCTGAAAGCGCTCCAAATGTCCACTTGCAGATTCTGTGAAAAGAATATTTGAAAACTGCTCTATGAAAAGCAATGTTAAACTCTGTGGCTCGAACACAAACATCACAAAGCAGTTTCTGAGAATGCTTCAGTTTAGTTTTTCTGTGGAAATATTCCCGTTTCCAAAGAAATCTTCAAAGAGGTCCACGTATCCACTTACAGATTCTACAAAAAGACAGTTTCAAAACTGCTCCATCAAAAGGAGGGTTCAACTGTGTGACTTGAATGCAATCATCACTCAGAAGTTTCTGAGAATGCTTCTCTTTAGTTTTTACGTGAACATATACCCGTTTCGAACGAAGGCCAGCCAGTGGTCCAAATATCCACTTGCAGATTCTACAGAAAGAGTGTTTCGAACCTGAACTCTCAAAGGCACGTTCATCTCTGCGAGTTAAATGCATTCATCATGAAGAACTTTCTCAGAGTGTTTGTGTTTAGTTATGGGAAATTATTCCCGTTTCCAACGAAATCCTCAGAGAGCTCCAAATATCCACCTGCAGATTCTACCAAAAGTGTATTTGGAAACTGCTCCATCAAAAGGCATGTTCAGCTCTGTGAGTGAAACTCCATCATCACAAAGAATATTCTGAGAATGCTTCCGTTTGCCTTTTATATGAAGTTCCTTCCTATACTACCGTAGGCCTCAAAGCAGTCCAAATCTCCGTTTGCAGATTCTACAAAAAGAGTGATTCCAATCTGCTCTATCAATAGGATTGTTCAACTCCATGAGTTGAATGCCATCCTCACAAAGTAGTTTCTGAGAATGCTTCTATCTAGTTTTAATGTGAAGATATTTCCTTTTCCACCACAGGCCTCAAAGCCCTCCAAACGTCCACTTGCAGATTCTCGAAAAAGAGTGTTTCATAGCTGCTCTTTCAAAAGGAAAGTTCAACTCTGGGAGTTGAATACAAACATCACAAAGTAGTTTCCGAGAATGCTTCTGTTTAGTTTTTATGTGAAGATGATCCCGTTTCCAGTGAAATCTTCAAAGAGGTCCACATATCCCCTTGCAGATTCCAAAGAAAGAGGGTTTCAAAACTGCTCCATCAGAAGGATTGTTCAACTCTGTGAGTGGAATGCAGTCATCGCAGAAAACTTTCTGAGAATGCTTCTTTCTAGGTTTGATGTGAAGATATAGACGTTTCAAACGAAGGCTACAAAGTGGTCAAAATATACACTTGCAGATTCTACTACAAGGGTGTTGCAAACCTGAACTATCAAAGGAAGGTTCAACTCTGTGAGTTGAATACAAACATCACAAAGAATGTTCTGAGTTTGCTTCCGTTCAGTTATGGGAAGTTGATCCCGTTTCCAACGAAATCCTCAGAGAGGTCCAAATATCCCCTTGCAGATTCTACAAAACGTGTGTTTGGAAACTGCTCCATCATAACGAATGTCCAGCTCCCTGAGTTAAACTCCATCGTCACAAAGAATTTTCTGAGAGTGCTAACCGTCTGGTTTTTATATGAAGCTCTTTCCTTCACTATCACAGGCCTCAAAGCGGTCCAAATCTCCACTTCCAGATTCTACAAAAAGAGTGTTTGCAAACTGCTCTATCAAAAGGAATGTTCAACTCTGGGAGTTGAATGCAATCATCACAGAGCAGTTTCTGAGAATGCTTCTATGTCGTTTTTAGGAGAAGATATTTCCTTTTCCAACACAGTCCTCCAAGCCCGCTAAATAGCCACTTGCACATTGTAGAAAAAGTGTGTCAAAGCTGCGCTATCAAAGGGAAAGTTCAACTCTGTGAGGTGAATGCAAACATCCCAAAGAAGTTTCTGAGAATGCTTCCGTTTAGCTTTTAGGTGAAGATTATCCCGTTTCCAACGAAACCTTCAAAGAGGTCCAAATATCCCCTTGCGGATCCCACAGAAAGAGTGTTTCGAAACTGCTGTTTCAAAAGGAATCTTCAACTCTGTGAGTTGAATGCAATCATCACAAAGAAGTTTCTGACAATGCTTCTCTCTCGTCTTTCTGTGAAGATAAAGGAAAAGGCTTTCAGGCCTTTTCCCAACCACAGGCCTGAAAGCGCTCCAAATGTCCACTTGCAGATTCTGCCAAAAGAATATTTCAAAACTGCTCTATGAAAAGCAATGTTAAACTCTGTGGCTCGAACACAAACATCACAAAGCAGTTTCTGAGAATGCTTCAGTTTAGTTTTTCTGTGGAAATATTCCCGTTTCCAAAGAAATCTTCAAAGAGGTCCACGTATCCACTTACAGATTCTACAAAAAGACAGTTTCAAAACTGCTCCATCAAAAGGAGGGTTCAACTGTGTGACTTGAATGCAATCATCACTCAGAAGTTTCTGAGAATGCTTCTCTTTAGTTTTTACGTGAACATATACCCGTTTCGAACGAAGGCCAGCCAGTGGTCCAAATATCCACTTGCAGATTCTACAGAAAGAGTGTTTCGAACCTGAACTCTCAAAGGCAGGTTCATCTCTGAGAGTTCAATGCATTCATCATGAAGAACTTTCTCAGAGTGTTTGTGTTTAGTTATGGGAAATTATTCCCGTTTCCAACGAAATCCTCAGAGAGCTCCAAATATCCACCTGCAGATTCTACCAAAAGTGTATTTGGAAACTGCTCCATCAAAAGGCATGTTCAGCTCTGTGAGTGAAACTCCATCATCACAAAGAATATTCTGAGAATGCTTCCGTTTGCCTTTTATATGAAGTTCCTTCCTATACTACCGTAGGCCTCAAAGCAGTCCAAATCTCCATTTGCAGATTCTACAAAAAGAGTGATTCCAATCTGCTCTATCAATAGGATTGTTCAACTCCATGAGTTGAATGCCATCCTCACAAAGTCGTTTCTGAGAATGCTTCTATCTAGTTTTTATGTGAAGATATTTCCTTTTCCACCACAGGCCTCAAAGCCCTCCAAACGTCCACTTGCAGATTCTCGAAAAAGAGTGTTTCATAGCTGCTCTTTCAAAAGGAAAGTTCAACTCTGGCAGTTGAATACAAACATCACAAAGTAGTTTCCGAGAATGCTTCTGTTTAGTTTTTATGTGAAGATGATCCCGTTTCCAGTGAAATCTTCAAAGAGGTCCACATATCCCCTTGCAGATTCCAAAGAAAGAGGGTTTCAAAACTGCTCCATCAGAAGGATTGTTCAACTCTGTGAGTTGAATGCAGTCATCGCAGAAAACTTTCTGAGAATGCTTCTGTCTAGGTTTGATGTGAAGATATAGACGTTTCAAACGAAGGCTACAAAGTGGTCAAAATATACACTTGCAGATTCTACTACAAGGGTGTTGCAAACCTGAACTATCAAAGGAAGGTTCAACTCTGTGAATTGAATACAAACATCACAAAGAATGTTCTGAGTTTGCTTCCGTTCAGTTATGGGAAGTTGATCCCGTTTCCAACGAAATCCTCAGAGAGGTCCAAATATCCCCTCGCAGATTCTACAAAACGTGTGTTTGGAAACTGCTCCATCATAACGAATGTTCAGCTCCCTGAGTTAAACTCCATCGTCACAAAGAATTTTCTGAGAGTGCTACCGTCTGGTTTTTATATGAAGTTCTTTCCTTCACTACCACAGGCCTCAAAGCGGTCCAAATCTCCACTTGCAGATTCTACAAAAAGAGTGTTTGCAAACTGCTCTATCAAAAGGAATGTTCAACTCTGGGAGTTGAATGCAATCATCACAGAGCAGTTTCTGAGAATGCTTCTATGTCGTTTTTAGGAGAAGATATTTCCTTTTCCAACACAGTCCTCCAAGCCCGCTAAATAGCCACTTGCACATTGTAGAAAAAGTGTGTCAAAGCTGCGCTATCAAAGGGAAAGTTCAACTCTGTGAGGTGAATGCAAACATCCCAAAGAAGTTTCTGAGAATGCTTCCGTTTAGCTTTTAGGTGAAGATTATCCCGTTTCCAACGAAACCTTCAAAGAGGTCCAAATATCCCCTTGCGGATCCCACAGAAAGAGTGTTTCGAAACTGCTGTTTCAAAAGGAATCTTCAACTCTGTGAGTTGAATGCAATCATCAAAAAGAAGTTTCTGACAATGCTTCTCTCTCGTCTTTCTGTGAAGATAAAGGAAAAGGCTTTCAGGCCTTTTCCACCACAGGCCTGAAAGCGCTCCAAATGTCCACTTGCAGATTCTGCCAAAAGAATATTTCAAAACTGCTCTATGAAAAGCAATGTTAAACTCTGTGGCTCGAACACAAACATCACAAAGCAGTTTCTGAGAATGCTTCAGTTTAGATTTTCTGTGGAAATACTCCCGTTTCCAAAGAAATCTTCAAAGAGGTCCACGTATCCACTTACAGATTCTACAAAAAGACAGTTTCAAAACTGCTCCATCAAAAGGAGGGTTCAACTGTGTGACTTGAATGCAATCATCACTCAGAAGTTTCTGAGAATGCTTCTCTTTAGTTTTTACGTGAACATATACCCGTTTCGAACGAAGGCCACCCAGTGGTCCAAATATCCACTTGCAGATTCTACAGAAAGAGTGTTTCGAACCTGAACTCTCAAAGGCAGGTTCATCTCTGCGAGTTAAATGCATTCATCATGAAGAACTTTCTCAGAGTGTTTGTGTTTAGTTATGGGAAATTATTCCCGTTTCCAACGAAATCCTCAGAGAGCTCCAAATATCCACCTGCAGATTCTACCAAAAGTGTATTTGGAAACTGCTCCATCAAAAGGCATGTTCAGCTCTGTGAGTGAAACTCCATCATCACAAAGAATATTCTGAGAATGCTTCCGTTTGCCTTTTATATGAAGTTCCTTCCTGTACTACCGTAGGCCTCAAAGCAGTCCAAATCTCCATTTGCAGATTCTATAAAAAGAGTGATTCCAATCTGCTCTATCAATAGGATTGTTCAACTCCATGAGTTGAATGCCATCCTCACAAAGTAGTTTCTGAGAATGCTTCTATCTGGTTTTTGTGTGAAGATATTTCCTTTTCCACCACAGGCCTCAAAGCCCTCCAAACGTCCACTTGCAGATTCTCGAAAAAGAGTGTTTCATAGCTGCTCTTTCCAAAGGAAAGTTCAACTCTGGGAGTTGAATACAAACATCACAAAGTAGTTTCCGAGAATGCTTCTGTTTAGTTTTTATGTGAAGATGATCCCGTTTCCAGTGAAATCTTCAAAGAGGTCCACATATCCCCTTGCAGATTCCAAAGAAAGAGGGTTTCAAAACTGCTCCATCAGAAGGATTGTTCAACTCTGTGAGTTGAATGCAGTCATCGCAGAAAACTTTCTGAGAAAGCTTCTGTCTAGGTTTGATGTGAAGATATAGACGTTTCAAACGAAGGCTACAAAGTGGTCAAAATATACACTTGCAGATTCTACTACAAGGGTGTTGCAAACCTGAACTATCAAAGGAAGGTTCAACTCTGTGAGTTGAATACAAACATCACAAAGAATGTTCTGAGTTTGCTTCCGTTCAGTTATGGGAAGTTGATCCCGTTTCCAACGAAATCCTCAGAGAGGTCCAAATATCCCCTCGCAGATTCTACAAAACGTGTGTTTGGAAACTGCTCCATCATAACGAATGTTCAGCTCCCTGAGTTAAACTCCATCGTCACAAAGAATTTTCTGAGAGTGCTACCGTCTGGTTTTTATATGAAGTTCTTTCCTTCACTACCACAGGCCTCAAAGCGGTCCAAATCTCCACTTGCAGATTCTACAAAAAGAGTGTTTGCAAACTGCTCTATCAAAAGGAATGTTCAACTCTGGGAGTTGAATGCAATCATCACAGAGCAGTTTCTGAGAATGCTTCTATGTCGTTTTTAGGAGAAGATATTTCCTTTTCCAACACAGTCCTCCAAGCCCGCTAAATAGCCACTTGCACATTGTAGAAAAAGTGTGTCAAAGCTGCGCTATCAAAGGGAAAGTTCAACTCTGTGAGGTGAATGCAAACATCCCAAAGAAGTTTCTGAGAATGCTTCCGTTTAGCTTTTAGGTGAAGATTATCCCGTTTCCAACGAAACCTTCAAAGAGGTCCAAATATCCCCTTGCGGATCCCACAGAAAGAGTGTTTCGAAACTGCTGTTTCAAAAGGAATCTTCAACTCTGTGAGTTGAATGCAATCATCACAAAGAAGTTTCTGACAATGCTTCTCTCTCGTCTTTCTGTGAAGATAAAGGAAAAGGCTTTCAGGCCTTTGCCACCACAGGCCTGAAAGCGCTCCAAATGTCCACTTGCAGATTCTGCCAAAAGAATATTTCAAAACTGCTCTATGAAAAGCAATGTTAAACTCTGTGGCTCGAACACAAACATCACAAAGCAGTTTCTGAGAATGCTTCAGTTTAGTTTTTCTGTGGAAATATTCCCGTTTCCAAAGAAATCTTCAAAGAGGTCCACGCATCCACTTACAGATTCTACAAAAAGACAGTTTCAAAACTGCTCCATCAAAAGGAGGGTTCAACTGTGTGACTTGAATGCAATCATCACTCAGAAGTTTCTGAGAATGCTTCTCTTTAGTTTTTACGTGAACATATACCCGTTTCGAACGAAGGCCACCCAGTGGTCCAAATATCCACTTGCAGATTATACAGAAAGAGTGTTTCGAACCTGAACTCTCAAAGGCAGGTTCATCTCTGCGAGTTAAATGCATTCATCATGAAGAACTTTCTCAGAGTGTTTGTGTTTAGTTATGGGAAATTATTCCCGTTTCCAACGAAATCCTCAGAGAGCTCCAAATATCCACCTGCAGATTCTACCAAAAGTGTATTTGGAAACTGCTCCATCAAAAGGCATGTTCAGCTCTGTGAGTGAAACTCCATCATCACAAAGAATATTCTGAGAATGCTTCCGTTTGCCTTTTATATGAAGTTCCTTCCTGTACTACCGTAGGCCTCAAAGCAGTCCAAATCTCCATTTGCAGATTCTATAAAAAGAGTGATTCCAATCTGCTCTATCAATAGGATTGTTCAACTCCATGAGTTGAATGCCATCCTCACAAAGTCGTTGCTGAGAATGCTTCTATCTAGTTTTTATGTGAAGATATTTCCTTTTCCACCACAGGCCTCAAAGCCTTCCAAACGTCCACTTGCAGATTCTCGAAAAAGAGTGTTTCATAGCTGCTCTTTCAAAAGGAAAGTTCAACTCTGGGAGTTGAATACAAACATCACAAAGTAGTTTCCGAGAATGCTTCTGTTTAGTTTTTATGTGAAGATGATCCCGTTTCCAGTGAAATCTTCAAAGAGGTCCACATATCCCCTTGCAGATTCCAACGAAAGAGGGTTTCAAAACTGCTCCATCAGAAGGATTGTTCAACTCTGTGAGTTGAATGCAGTCATCGCAGAAAACTTTCTGAGAATGCTTCTGTCTAGGTTTGATGTGAAGATATAGACGTTTCAAACGAAGGCTACAAAGTGGTCAAAATATACACTTGCAGATTCTACTACAAGGGTGTTGCAAACCTGAACTATCAAAGGAAGGTTCAACTCTGTGAGTTGAATACAAACATCACAAAGAATGTTCTGAGTTTGCTTCCGTTCAGTTATGGGAAGTTGATCCCGTTTCCAACGAAATCCTCAGAGAGGTCCAAATATCCCCTTGCAGATTCTACAAAACGTGTGTTTGGAAACTGCTCCATCATAACGAATGTTCAGCTCCCTGAGTTAAACTCCATCGTCACAAAGAATTTTCTGAGAGTGCTACCGTCTAGTTTTTATATGAAGTTCTTTCCTTTACTACCACAGGCCTCAAAGCGGTCCAAATCTCCACTTGCAGATTCTACAAAAAGAGTGTTTGCAAACTGCTCTATCAAAAGGAATGTTCAACTCTGGGAGTTGAATGCAATCATCACAGAGCAGTTTCTGAGAATGCTTCTATGTCGTTTTTAGGAGAAGATATTTCCTTTTCCAACACAGTCCTCCAAGCCCGCTAAATATCCACTTGCACATTGTAGAAAAAGTGTGTCGAAGCTGCGCTATCAAAGGGAAAATTCAACTCTGTGAGGTGAATGCAAACTTCCCAAAGAAGTTTCTGAGAATGCTTCCGTTTAGCTTTTAGGTGAAGATTATCCCGTTTCCAACGAAATCTTCAAAGAGGTCCAAATATCCCCTTGCGGATCCCACAGAAAGAGTGTTTCGAAACTGCTGTTTCAAAAGGAATCTTCAACTCTGTGAGTTGAATGCAATCATCACAAAGAAGTTTCTGACAATGCTTCTCTCTCGTCTTTCTGTGAAGATAAAGGAAAAGGCTTTCAGGCCTTTTCCACCACAGGCCTGAAAGCGCTCCAAATGTCCACTTGCAGATTCTTCCAAAAGAATATTTCAAAACTGCTCTATGAAAAGCAATGTTAAACTCTGCGGCTCGAACACAAACATCACAAAGCAGTTTCAGAGAATGCTTCAGTTTAGTTTTTCTGTGGAAATATTCCCGTTTCCAAAGAAATCTTCAAAGAGGTCCACGCATCCACTTACAGATTCTACAAAAAGACAGTTTCAAAACTGCTCAATCAAAAGGAGGGTTCAACTGTGTGACTTGAATGCAATCATCACTCAGAAGTTTCTGAGAACGCTTCTCTTTAGTTTTTACGTGAACATATACCCGTTTCGAACGAAGGCCAGCCAGTGGTCCAAATATCCACTTGCAGATTCTACAGAAAGAGTGTTTCGAACCTGAACTCTCAAAGGCAGGTTCATCTCTGCGAGTTCAATGCATTCATCATGAAGAACTTTCTCAGCGTGTTTGTGTTTAGTTATGGGAAATTATTCCCGTTTCCAACGAAATCCTCAGAGAGCTCCAAATATCCACCTGCAGATTCTACCAAAAGTGTATTTGGAAACTGCTCCATCAAAAGGCATGTTCAGCTCTGTGAGTGAAACTCCATCATCACAAAGAATATTCTGAGAATGCTTCCGTTTGCCTTTTATATGAAGTTCCTTCCTATACGACCGTAGGCCTCAAAGCAGTCCAAATCTCCATTTGCAGATTCTACAAAAAGAGTGATTCCAATCTGCTCTATCAATAGGATTGTTCAACTCCATGAGTTGAATGCCATCCTCACAAAGTAGTTTCTGAGAATGCTTCTATCTAGTTTTTATGTGAAGATATTTCCTTTTCCACCACAGGCCTCAAAGCCTTCCAAACGTCCACTTGCAGATTCTCGAAAAAGAGTGTTTCATAGCTGCTCTTTCAAAAGGAAAGTTCAACTCTGGGAGTTGAATACAAACATCACAAAGTAGTTTCCGAGAATGCTTCTGTTTAGTTTTTATGTGAAGATGATCCCGTTTCCAGTGAAATCTTCAAAGAGGTCCACATATCCCCTTGCAGATTCCAAAGAAAGAGGGTTTCAAAACTGCTCCATCAGAAGGATTGTTCAACTCTGTGAGTTGAATGCAGTCATCGCAGAAAACTTTCTGAGAATGCTTCTGTCTAGGTTTGATGTGAAGATATAGACGTTTCAAACGAAGGCTACAAAGTGTTCAAAATATACACTTGCAGATTCTACTACAAGGGTGTTGCAAACCTGAACTATCAAAGGAAGGTTCAACTCTGTGAGTTGAATACAAACATCACAAAGAATGTTCTGAGTTTGCTTCCGTTCAGTTATGGGAAGTTGATCCCGTTTCCAACGAAATCCTCAGAGAGGTCCAAATATCCCCTCGCAGATTCTACAAAACGTGTGTTTGGAAACTGCTCCATCATAACGAATGTTCAGCTCCCTGAGTTAAACTCCATCGTCACAAAGAATTTTCTGAGAGTGCTACCGTCTGGTTTTTATATGAAGTTCTTTCCTTCACTACCACAGGCCTCAAAGCGGTCCAAATCTCCACTTGCAGATTCTACAAAAAGAGTGTTTGCAAACTGCTCTATCAAAAGGAATGTTCAACTCTGGGAGTTGAATGCAATCATCACAGAGCAGTTTCTGAGAATGCTTCTATGTCGTTTTTAGGAGAAGATATTTCCTTTTCCAACACAGTCCTCCAAGCCCGCTAAATAGCCACTTGCACATTGTAGAAAAAGTGTGTCAAAGCTGCGCTATCAAAGGGAAAGTTCAACTCTGTGAGGTGAATGCAAACATCCCAAAGAAGTTTCTGAGAATGCTTCCGTTTAGCTTTTAGGTGAAGATTATCCCGTTTCCAACGAAACCTTCAAAGAGGTCCAAATATCCCCTTGCGGATCCCACAGAAAGAGTGTTTCGAAACTGCTGTTTCAAAAGGAATCTTCAACTCTGTGAGTTGAATGCAATCATCACAAAGAAGTTTCTGACAATGCTTCTCTCTCGTCTTTCTGTGAAGATAAAGGAAAAGGCTTTCAGGCCTTTGCCACCACAGGCCTGAAAGCGCTCCAAATGTCCACTTGCAGATTCTGCCAAAAGAATATTTCAAAACTGCTCTATGAAAAGCAATGTTAAACTCTGTGGCTCGAACACAAACATCACAAAGCGGTTTTTGAGAATGTTTCAGTTTAGTTTTTCTGTGGAAATATTCCCGTTTCCAAAGAAATCTTCAAAGAGGTCCACGTATCCACTTACAGATTCTACAAAAAGACAGTTTCAAAACTGCTCCATCAAAAGGAGGGTTCAACTGTGTGACTTGAATGCAATCATCACTCAGAAGTTTCTGAGAATGCTTCTCTTTAGTTTTTACGTGAACATATACCCGTTTCGAACGAAGGCCAGCCAGTGGTCCAAATATCCACTTGCAGATTCTACAGAAAGAGTGTTTCGAACCTGAACTCTCAAAGGCAGGTTCATCTCTGCGAGTTGAATGCATTCATCATGAAGAACTTTCTCAGAGTGTTTGTGCTTAGTTATGGGAAATTATTCCCGTTTCCAACGAAATCCTCAGAGAGCTCCAAATATCCACCTGCAGATTCTACCAAAAGTGTATTTGGAAACTGCTCCATCAAAAGGCATGTTCAGCTCTGTGAGTGAAACTCCATCATCACAAAGAATATTCTGAGAATGCTTCCGTTTGCCTTTTATATGAAGTTCCTTCCTATACTACCGTAGGCCTCAAAGCAGTCCAAATCTCCATTTGCAGATTCTACAAAAAGAGTGATTCCAATCTGCTCTATCAATAGGATTGTTCAACTCCATGAGTTGAATGCCATCCTCACAAAGTAGTTTCTGAGAATGCTTCTATGTAGTTTTTATGTGAAGATATTTCCTTTTCCACCACAGGCCTCAAAGCCCTCCAAACGTCCACTTGCAGATTCTCGAAAAAGAGTGTTTCATAGCTGCTCTTTCAAAAGGAAAGTTCAACTCTGGGAGTTGAATACAAACATCACAAAGTAGTTTCCGAGAATGCTTCTGTTTAGTTCTTATGTGAAGATGATCCCGTTTCCAGTGAAATCTTCAAAGAGGTCCACATATCCCCTTGCAGATTCCAAAGAAAGAGGGTTTCAAAACTGCTCCATCAAAAGGATTGTTCAACTCTGTGAGTTGAATGCAGTCATCGCAGAAAACTTTCTGAGGATGCTTCTGTCTAGGTTTGATGTGAAGATATAGACGTTTCAAACGAAGGCTACAATGTGGTCAAAATATACACTTGCAGATTCTACTACAAGGGTGTTGCAAACCTCAACTATCAAAGGAAGGTTCAACTCTGTGAGATGAATGCAAACATCACAAAGAATGTTCTGAGTTTGCTTCCGTTTAGTTATGGGAAATTGATACCGTTTCCAACGAAATCCTCAGAGAGGTCCAAATATCCCCTTGCAGATTCTACAAAACGTGTGTTTGGAAACTGCTCCATCATAACGAATGTTCAGCTCTCTGAGTTAAACTCCATCGTCACAAAGAATTTTCTGAGAGTGCTACCGTCTGGTTTTTATATGAAGTTCTTTCCTTTACTACCACAGGCCTCAAAGCGGTCCAAATCTCCACTTGCAGATTCTACAAAAAGAGTGTTTGCAAACTGCTCTATCAAAAGGAATGTTCAACTCTGGGAGTTGAATGCAATCATCACAGAGCAGTTTCTGAGAATGCTTCTATGTCGTTTTTAGGAGAAGATATTTCCTTTTCCAACACAGTCCTCCAAGCCCGCTAAATAGCCACTTGCACATTGTAGAAAAAGTGTGTCAAAGCTGCGCTATCAAAGGGAAAGTTCAACTCTGTGAGGTGAATGCAAACATCCCAAAGAAGTTTGCTGAGAATGCTTCCGTTTAGCTTTTAGGTGAAGATTATCCCGTTTCCAACGAAACCTTCAAAGTAGGTCCAAATATCCCCTTGCGGATCCCACAGAAAGAGTGTTTCGAAACTGCTGTTTCAAAAGGAATCTTCAACTCTGTGAGTTGAATGCAATCATCACAAAGAAGTTTCTGACAATGCTTCTCTCTCGTCTTTCTGTGAAGATAAAGGAAAAGGCTTTCAGGCCTTTTCCACCACAGGCCTGAAAGCGCTCCAAATGTCCACTTGCAGATTCTGCCAAAAGAATATTTCAAAACTGCTCTATGAAAAGCAATGTTAAACTCTGTGGCTCGAACACAAACATCACAAAGCAGTTTCTGAGAATGCTTCAGTTTAGTTTTTCTGTGGAAATATTCCCGTTTCCAAAGAAATCTTCAAAGAGGTCCACGTATCCACTTACAGATTCTACAAAAAGACAGTTTCAAAACTGCTCCATCAAAAGGAGGGTTCTACTGTGTGACTTGAATGCAATCATCACTCACAAGTTTCTGAGAATGCTTCTCTTTAGTTTTTACGTGAACATATACCCGTTTCGAACGAAGGCCACACAGTGGTCCAAATATCCACTTGCAGATTCTACAGAAAGAGTGTTTCGAACCTGAACTCTCAAAGGCAGGTTCATCTCTGCGAGTTAAATGCATTCATCATGAAGAACTTTCTCAGAGTGTTTGTGTTTAGTTATGGGAAATTATTCCCGTTTCCAACGAAATCCTCAGAGAGCTCCAAATATCCACCTGCAGATTCTACCAAAAGTGTATTTGGAAACTGCTCCATCAAAAGGCATGTTCAGCTCTGTGAGTGAAACTCCATCATCACAAAGAATATTCTGAGAATGCTTCCGTTTGCCTTTTATATGAAGTTCCTTCCTATACGACCGTAGGCCTCAAAGCAGTCCAAATCTCCATTTGCAGATTCTACAAAAAGAGTGATTCCAATCTGCTCTATCAATAGGATTGTTCAACTCCATGAGTTGAATGCCATCCTCACAAAGTCGTTTCTGAGAATGCTTCTATCTAGTTTTAATGTGAAGATATTTCCTTTTCCACCACAGGCCTCAAAGCCCTCCAAACGTCCACTTGCAGATTCTCGAAAAAGAGTGTTTCATAGCTGCTCTTTCAAAAGGAAAGTTCAACTCTGGGAGTTGAATACAAACATCACAAAGTAGTTTCCGAGAATGCTTCTGTTTAGTTTTTATGTGAAGATGATCCCGTTTCCAGTGAAATCTTCAAAGAGGTCCACATATCCCCTTGCAGATTCCAAAGAAAGAGGGTTTCAAAACTGCTCCATCAGAAGGATTGTTCAACTCTGTGAGTTGAATGCAGTCATCGCAGAAAACTTTCTGAGAATGCTTCTGTCTAGGTTTGATGTGAAGATATAGACGTTTCAAACGAAGGCTACAAAGTGGTCAAAATATACACTTGCAGATTCTACTACAAGGGTGTTGCAAACCTGAACTATCAAAGGAAGGTTCAACTCTGTGAGTTGAATACAAACATCACAAAGAATGTTCTGAGTTTGCTTCCGTTCAGTTATGGGAAGTTGATCCCGTTTCCAACGAAATCCTCAGAGAGGTCCAAATATCCCCTTGCAGATTCTACAAAACGTGTGTTTGGAAACTGCTCCATCATAACGAATGTTCAGCTCCCTGAGTTAAACTCCATCGTCACAAAGAATTTTCTGAGAGTGCTACCGTCTGGTTTTTATATGAAGCTCTTTTCTTCACTACCACAGGCCTCAAAGCGGTCCAAATCTCCACTTGCAGATTCTACAAAAAGAGTGTTTGCAAACTGCTCTATCAAAAGGAATGTTCAACCCTGGGAGTTGAATGCAATCATCACAGAGCAGTTTCTGAGAATGCTTCTATGTCGTTTTTAGGAGAAGATATTACCTTTTCCAACACAGTCCTCCAAGCCCGCTAAATAGCCACTTGCACATTGTAGAAAAAGTGTGTCAAAGCTGCGCTATCAAAGGGAAAGTTCAACTCTGTGAGGTGAATGCAAACATCCCAAAGAAGTTTCTGAGAATGCTTCCGTTTAGCTTTTAGGTTAAGATTATCCCGTTTCCAACGAAACCTTCAAAGAGGTCCAAATATCCCCTTGCGGATCCCACAGAAAGAGTGTTTCGAAACTGCTGTTTCAAAAGGAATCTTCAACTCTGTGAGTTGAATGCAATCATCACAAAGAAGTTTCTGACAATGCTTCTCTCTCGTCTTTCTGTGAAGGTAAAGGAAAAGGCTTTCAGGCCTTTTCCACCACAGGCCTGAAAGCGCTCCAAATGTCCACTTGCAGATTCTGCCAAAAGAATATTTCAAAACTGCTCTATGAAAAGCAATGTTAAACTCTGTGGCTCGAACACAAACATCACAAAGCGGTTTCTGAGAATGCTTCAGTTTAGTTTTTCTGTGGAAATATTCCCGTTTCCAAAGAAATCTTCAAAGAGGTCCACGTATCCACTTACAGATTCTACAAAAAGACAGTTTCAAAACTGCTCCATCAAAAGGAGGGTTCAACTGTGTGACTTGAATGCAATCATCACTCAGAAGTTTCTGAGAATGCTTCTCTTTAGTTTTTACGTGAACTTATACCCGTTTCGAACGAAGGCCAGCCAGTGGTCCAAATATCCACTTGCAGATTCTACAGAAAGAGTGTTTCGAACCTGAACTCTCAAAGACAGGTTCATCTCTGCGAGTTAAATGCATTCATCATGAAGAACTTTCTCAGAGTGTTTGTGTTTAGTTATGGGAAATTATTCCCGTTTCCAACGAAATCCTCAGAGAGCTCCAAATATCCACCTGCAGATTCTACCAAAAGTGTATTTGGAAACTGCTCCATCAAAAGGCATGTTCAGCTCTGTGAGTGAAACTCCATCATCACAAAGAATATTCTGAGAATGCTTCCGTTTGCCTTTTATATGAAGTTCCTTCCTATACGACCGTAGGCCTCAAAGCAGTCCAAATCTCCATTTGCAGATTCTACAAAAAGAGTGATTCCAATCTGCTCTATCAATAGGATTGTTCAACTCCATGAGTTGAATGCCATCCTCACAAAGTCGTTTCTGAGAATGCTTCTATCTAGTTTTTATGTGAAGATATTTCCTTTTCCACCACAGGCCTCAAAGCCCTCCAAACGTCCACTTGCAGATTCTCGAAAAAGAGTGTTTCATAGCTGCTCTTTCAAAAGGAAAGTTCAACTCTGGGAGTTGAATACAAACATCACAAAGTAGTTTCCGAGAATGCTTCTGTTTAGTTTTTATGTGAAGATGATCCCGTTTCCAGTGAAATCTTCAAAGAGGTCCACATATCCCCTTGCAGATTCCAAAGAAAGAGGGTTTCAAAACTGCTCCATCAGAAGGATTGTTCAACTCTGTGAGTTGAATGCAGTCATCGCAGAAAACTTTCTGAGAATGCTTCTGTCTAGGTTTGATGTGAAGATATAGACGTTTCAAACGAAGGCTACAAAGTGGTCAAAATATACACTTGCAGATTCTACTACAAGGGTGTTGCAAACCTGAACTATCAAAGGAAGGTTCAACTCTGTGAGTTGAATACAAACATCACAAAGAATGTTCTGAGTTTGCTTCCGTTCAGTTATGGGAAGTTGATCCCGTTTCCAACGAAATCCTCAGAGAGGTCCAAATATCCCCTTGCAGATTCTACAAAACGTGTGTTTGGAAACTGCTCCATCATAACGAATGTTCAGCTCCCTGAGTTAAACTCCATCGTCACAAAGAATTTTCTGAGAGTGCTACCGTCTGGTTTTTATATGAAGTTCTTTCCTTCACTACCACAGACCTCAAAGCGGTCCAAATCTCCACTTGCAGATTCTACAAAAAGAGTGTTTGCAAACTGCTCTATCAAAAGGAATGTTCAACTCTGGGAGTTGAATGCAATCATCACAGAGCAGTTTCTGAGAATGCTTCTATGTCGTTTTTAGGAGAAGATATTTCCTTTTCCAACACAGTCCTCCAAGCCCGCTAAATAGCCACTTGCACATTGTAGAAAAAGTGTGTCAAAGCTGCGCTATCAAAGGGAAAGTTCAACTCTGAGAGGTGAATGCAAACATCCCAAAGAAGTTTCTGAGAATGCTTCCGTTTAGCTTTTAGGTGAAGATTATCCCGTTTCCAACGAAACCTTCAAAGAGGTCCAAATATCCCCTTGCGGATCCCACAGAAAGAGTGTTTCGAAACTGCTGTTTCAAAAGGAATCTTCAACTCTGTGAGTTGAATGCAATCATCACAAAGAAGTTTCTGACAATGCTTCTCTCTCGTCTTCCTGTGAAGATAAAGGAAAAGGCTTTCAGGCCTTTTCCACCACAGGCCTGAAAGCGCTCCAAATGTCCACTTGCAGATTCTGCCAAAAGAATATTTCAAAACTGCTCTATGAAAAGCAATGTTAAACTCTGTGGCTCGAACACAAACATCACAAAGCAGTTTCTGAGAATGCTTCAGTTTAGTTTTTCTGTGGAAATATTCCCGTTTCCAAAGAAATCTTCAAAGAGGTCCACGCATCCACTTACAGATTCTACAAAAAGACAGTTTCAAAACTGCTCAATCAAAAGGAGGGTTCAACTGTGTGACTTGAATGCAATCATCACTCAGAAGTTTCTGAGAACGCTTCTCTTTAGTTTTTACGTGAACATATACCCGTTTCGAACGAAGGCCAGCCAGTGGTCCAAATATCCACTTGCAGATTCTACAGAAAGAGTGTTTCGAACCTGAACTCTCAAAGGCAGGTTCATCTCTGCGAGTTCAATGCATTCATCATGAAGAACTTTCTCAGCGTGTTTGTGTTTAGTTATGGGAAATTATTCCCGTTTCCAACGAAATCCTCAGAGAGGTCCAAATATCCACCTGCAGATTCTACCAAAAGTGTATTTGGAAACTGCTCCATCAAAAGGCATGTTCAGCTCTGTGAGTGAAACTCCATCATCACAAAGAATATTCTGAGAATGCTTCCGTTTGCCTTTTATATGAAGTTCCTTCCTATACTACCGTAGGCCTCAAAGCAGTCCAAATCTCCATTTGCAGATTCTACAAAAAGAGTGATTCCAATCTGCTCTATCAATAGGATTGTTCAACTCCATGAGTTGAATGCCATCCTCACAAAGTCGTTTCTGAGAATGCTTCTATCTAGTTTTTATGTGAAGATATTTCCTTTTCCACCACAGGCCTCAAAGCCTTCCAAACGTCCACTTGCAGATTCTCGAAAAAGAGTGTTTCATAGCTGCTCTTTCAAAAGGAAAGTTCAACTCTGGGAGTTGAATACAAACATCACAAAGTAGTTTCCGAGAATGCTTCTGTTTAGTTTTTATGTGAAGATGATCCCGTTTCCAGTGAAATCTTCAAAGAGGTCCACATATCCCCTTGCAGATTCCAAAGAAAGAGGGTTTCAAAACTGCTCCATCAGAAGGATTGTTCAACTCTGTGAGTTGAATGCAGTCATCGCAGAAAACTTTCTGAGAATGCTTCTGTCTAGGTTTGATGTGAAGATATAGACGTTTCAAACGAAGGCTACAAAGTGGTCAAAATATACACTTGCAGATTCTACTACAAGGGTGTTGCAAACCTGAACTATCAAAGGAAGGTTCAACTCTGTGAGTTGAATACAAACATCACAAAGAATGTTCTGAGTTTGCTTCCGTTCAGTTATGGGAAGTTGATCCCGTTTCCAACGAAATCCTCAGAGAGGTCCAAATATCCCCTCGCAGATTCTACAAAACGTGTGTTTGGAAACTGCTCCATCATAACGAATGTTCAGCTCCCTGAGTTAAACTCCATCGTCACAAAGAATTTTCTGAGAGTGCTACCGTCTGGTTTTTATATGAAGTTCTTTCCTTCACTACCACAGGCCTCAAAGCGGTCCAAATCTCCACTTGCAGATTCTACAAAAAGAGTGTTTGCAAACTGCTCTATCAAAAGGAATGTTCAACTCTGGGAGTTGAATGCAATCATCACAGAGCAGTTTCTGAGAATGCTTCTATGTCGTTTTTAGAAGATATTTCCTTTTCCAACACAGTCCTCCAAGCCCGCTAAATAGCCACTTGCACATTGTAGAAAAAGTGTGTCAAAGCTGCGCTATCAAAGGGAAAGTTCAACTCTGTGAGGTGAATGCAAACATCCCAAAGAAGTTTCTGAGAATGCTTCCGTTTAGCTTTTAGGTGAAGATTATCCCGTTTCCAACGAAACCTTCAAAGAGGTCCAAATATCCCCTTGCGGATCCCACAGAAAGAGTGTTTCGAAACTGCTGTTTCAAAAGGAATCTTCAACTCTGTGAGTTGAATGCAATCATCACAAAGAAGTTTCTGACAATGCTTCTCTCTCGTCTTTCTGTGAAGATAAAGGAAAAGGCTTTCAGGCCTTTGCCACCACAGGCCTGAAAGCGCTCCAAATGTCCACTTGCAGATTCTGCCAAAAGAATATTTCAAAACTGCTCTATGAAAAGCAATGTTAAACTCTGCGGCTCGAACACAAACATCACAAAGCGGTTTCTGAGAATGCTTCAGTTTAGTTTTTCTGTGGAAATATTCCCGTTTCCAAAGAAATCTTCAAAGAGGTCCACGTATCCACTTACAGATTCTACAAAAAGACAGTTTCAAAACTGCTCCATCAAAAGGAGGGTTCAACTGTGTGACTTGAATGCAATCATCACTCAGAAGTTTCTGAGAATGCTTCTCTTTAGTTTTTACGTGAACATATACCCGTTTCGAACGAAGGCCACCCAGTGGTCCAAATATCCACTTGCAGATTATACAGAAAGAGTGTTTCGAACCTGAACTCTCAAAGGCAGGTTCATCTCTGCGAGTTAAATGCATTCATCATGAAGAACTTTCTCAGAGTGTTTGTGTTTAGTTATGGGAAATTATTCCCGTTTCCAACGAAATCCTCAGAGAGCTCCAAATATCCACCTGCAGATTCTACCAAAAGTGTATTTGGAAACTGCTCCATCAAAAGGCATGTTCAGCTCTGTGAGTGAAACTCCATCATCACAAAGAATATTCTGAGAATGCTTCCGTTTGCCTTTTATATGAAGTTCCTTCCTATACTACCGTAGGCCTCAAAGCAGTCCAAATCTCCATTTGCAGATTCTACAAAAAGAGTGATTCCAATCTGCTCTATCAATAGGATTGTTCAACTCCATGAGTTGAATGCCATCCTCACAAAGTCGTTTCTGAGAATGCTTCTATCTGGTTTTTGTGTGAAGATATTTCCTTTTCCACCACAGGCCTCAAAGCCCTCCAAACGTCCACTTGCAGATTCTCGAAAAAGAGTGTTTCATAGCTGCTCTTTCAAAAGGAAAGTTCAACTCTGGGAGTTGAATACAAACATCACAAAGTAGTTTCCGAGAATGCTTCTGTTTAGTTTTTATGTGAAGATGATCCCGTTTCCAGTGAAATCTTCAAAGAGGTCCACATATCCCCTTGCAGATTCCAAAGAAAGAGGGTTTCAAAACTGCTCCATCAGAAGGATTGTTCAACTCTGTGAGTTGAATGCAGTCATCGCAGAAAACTTTCTGAGAATGCTTCTGTCTAGGTTTGATGTGAAGATATAGACGTTTCAAACGAAGGCTACAAAGTGGTCAAAATATACACTTGCAGATTCTACTACAAGGGTGTTGCAAACCTGAACTATCAAAGGAAGGTTCAACTCTGTGAGTTGAATACAAACATCACAAAGAATGTTCTGAGTTTGCTTCCGTTCAGTTATGGGAAGTTGATCCCGTTTCCAACGAAATCCTCAGAGAGGTCCAAATATTCCCTCGCAGATTCTACAAAACGTGTGTTTGGAAACTGCTCCATCATAACGAATGTTCAGCTCCCTGAGTTAAACTCCATCGTCACAAAGAATTTTCTGAGAGTGCTACCGTCTGGTTTTTATATGAAGTTCTTTCCTTCACTACCACAGGCCTCAAAGCGGTCCAAATCTCCACTTGCAGATTCTACAAAAAGAGTGTTTGCAAACTGCTCTATCAAAAGGAATGTTCAACTCTGGGAGTTGAATGCAATCATCACAGAGCAGTTTCTGAGAATGCTTCTATGTCGTTTTTAGGAGAAGATATTTCCTTTTCCAACACAGTCCTCCAAGCCCGCTAAATAGCCACTTGCACATTGTAGAAAAAGTGTGTCAAAGCTGCGCTATCAAAGGGAAAGTTCAACTCTGTGAGGTGAATGCAAACATCCCAAAGAAGTTTCTGAGAATGCTTCCGTTTAGCTTTTAGGTGAGGATTATCCCGTTTCCAACGAAACCTTCAAAGAGGTCCAAATATCCCCTTGCGGATCCCACAGAAAGAGTGTTTCGAAACTGCTGTTTCAAAAGGTATCTTCAACTCTGTGAGTTGAATGCAATCATCACAAAGAAGTTTCTGACAATGCTTCTCTCTCGTCTTTCTGTGAAGATAAAGGAAAAGGCTTTCAGGCCTTTGCAACCACAGGCCTGAAAGCGCTCCAAATGTCCACTTGCAGATTCTGCGAAAAGAATATTTCAAAACTGCTCTATGAAAAGCAATGTTAAACTCTGTGGCTCGAACACAAACATCACAAAGCAGTTTCTGAGAATGCTTCAGTTTAGTTTTTCTGTGGAAATATTCCCGTTTCCAAAGAAATCTTCAAAGAGGTCCACGTATCCACTTACAGATTCTACAAAAAGACAGTTTCAAAACTGCTCCATCAAAAGGAGGGTTCAACTGTGTGACTTGAATGCAATCATCACTCAGAAGTTTCTGAGAATGCTTCTCTTTAGTTTTTACGTGAACATATACCCGTTTCGAACGAAGGCCACCCAGTGGTCCAAATATCCACTTGCAGATTATACAGAAAGAGTGTTTCGAACCTGAACTCTCAAAGGCAGGTTCATCTCTGCGAGTTAAATGCATTCATCATGAAGAATTTTCTCAGAGTGTTTGTGTTTAGTTATGGGAAATTATTCCCGTTTCCAACGAAATCCTCAGAGAGCTCCAAATATCCACCTGCAGATTCTACCAAAAGTGTATTTGGAAACTGCTCCATCAAAAGGCATGTTCAGCTCTGTGAGTGAAACTCCATCATCACAAAGAATATTCTGAGAATGCTTCCGTTTGCCTTTTATATGAACTTCCTTCCTGTACTACCGTAGGCCTCAAAGCAGTCCAAATCTCCATTTGCAGATTCTACAAAAAGAGTGATTCCAATCTGCTCTATCAATAGGATTGTTCAACTCCATGAGTTGAATGCCATCCTCACAAAGTAGTTTCTGAGAATGCTTCTATCTGGTTTTTGTGTGAAGATATTTCCTTTTCCACCACAGGCCTCAAAGCCCTCGAAACGTCCACTTGCAGATTCTCGAAAAAGAGTGTTTCATAGCTGCTCTTTCAAAAGGAAAGTTCAACTCTGGGAGTTGAATACAAACATCACAAAGTAGTTTCCGAGAATGCTTCTGTTTAGTTTTTATTTGAAGATGATCCCGTTTCCAGTGAAATCTTCAAAGAGGTCCACATATCCCCTTGCAGATTCCAAAGAAAGAGGGTTTCAAAACTGCTCCATCAGAAGGATTGTTCAACTCTGTGAGTTGAATGCAGTCATCGCAGAAAACTTTCTGAGAATGCTTCTGTCTAGGTTTGATGTGAAGGTATAGACGTTTCAAATGAAGGCTACAAAGTGGTCAAAATATACACTTGCAGATTCTACTACAAGGGTGTTGCAAACCTGAACTATCAAAGGAAGGTTCAACTCTGTGAGTTGAATACAAACATCACAAAGAATGTTCTGAGTTTGCTTCCGTTCAGTTATGGGAAGTTGATCCCGTTTCCAACGAAATCCTCAGAGAGGTCCAAATATCCCCTTGCAGATTCTACAAAACGTGTGTTTGGAAACTGCTCCATCATAACGAATGTTCAGCTCCCTGAGTTAAACTCCATCGTCACAAAGAATTTTCTGAGAGTGCTACCGTCTGGTTTTTATATGAAGTTCTTTCCTTCACTACCACAGGCCTCAAAGCGGTCCAAATCTCCACTTGCAGATTCTACAAAAAGAGTGTTTGCAAACTGCTCTATCAAAAGGAATGTTCAACTCTGGGAGTTGAATGCAATCATCACAGAGCAGTTTCTGAGAATGCTTCTATGTCGTTTTTAGGAGAAGATATTTCCTTTTCCAACACAGTCCTCCAAGCCCGCTAAATAGCCACTTGCACATTGTAGAAAAAGTGTGTCAAAGCTGCGCTATCAAAGGGAAAGTTCAACTCTGTGAGGTGAATGCAAACATCCCAAAGAAGTTTCTGAGAATGCTTCCGTTTAGCTTTTAGGTGAAGATTATCCCGTTTCCAACGAAACCTTCAAAGAGGTCCAAATATCCCCTTGCGGATCCCACAGAAAGAGTGTTTCGAAACTGCTGTTTCAAAAGGAATCTTCAACTCTGTGAGTTGAATGCAATCATCACAAAGAAGTTTCTGACAATGCTTCTCTCTCGTCTTTCTGTGAAGATAAAGGAAAAGGCTTTCAGGCCTTTTCCACCACAGGCCTGAAAGCGCTCCAAATGTCCACTTGCAGATTCTGCCAAAAGAATATTTCAAAACTGCTCTATGAAAAGCAAAGTTAAACTCTGTGGCTCGAACACAAACATCACAATGCAGTTTCTGAGAATGCTTCAGTTTAGTTTTTCTGTGGAAATATTCCCGTTTCCAAAGAAATCTTCAAAGAGGTCCACGTATCCACTTACAGATTCTACAAAAAGACAGTTTCAAAACTGCTCCATCAAAAGGAGGGTTCAACCGTGTGACTTGAATGCAATCATCACTCAGAAGTTTCTGAGAATGCTTCTCTTTAGTTTTTACGTGAACATATACCCGTTTCGAACGAAGGCCACCCAGTGGTCCAAATATCCACTTGCAGATTATACAGAAAGAGTGTTTCGAACCTGAACTCTCAAAGGCAGGTTCATCTCTGCGAGTTAAATGCATTCATCATGAAGAACTTTCTCAGAGTGTTTGTGTTTAGTTATGGGAAATTATTCCCCTTTCCAACGAAATCCTCAGAGAGCTCCAAATATCCACCTGCAGATTCTACCAAAAGTGTATTTGGAAACTGCTCCATCAAAAGGCATGTTCAGCTCTGTGAGTGAAACTCCATCATCACAAAGAATATTCTGAGAATGCTTCCGTTTGCCTTTTATATGAAGTTCCTTCCTGTACTACCGTAGGCCTCAAAGCAGTCCAAATCTCCATTTGCAGATTCTACAAAAAGAGTGATTCCAATCTGCTCTATCAATAGGATTGTTCAACTCCATGAGTTGAATGCCATCCTCACAAAGTAGTTTCTGAGAATGCTTCTATCTGGTTTTTGTGTGAAGATATTTCCTTTTCCACCACAGGCCTCAAAGCCCTCCAAACGTCCACTTGCAGATTCTCGAAAAAGAGTGTTTCATAGCTGCTCTTTCAAAAGGAAAGTTCAACTCTGGGAGTTGAATACAAACATCACAAAATAGTTTCCGAGAATGCTTCTGTTTAGTTTTTATGTGAAGATGATCCCGTTTCCAGTGAAATCTTCAAAGAGGTCCACATATCCCCTTGCAGATTCCAAAGAAAGAGGGTTTCAAAACTGCTCCATCAGAAGGATTGTTCAACTCTGTGAGTTGAATGCAGTCATCGCAGAAAACTTTCTGAGAATGCTTCTGTCTAGGTTTGATGTGAAGATATAGACGTTTCAAACGAAGGCTACAAAGTGGTCAAAATATACACTTGCAGATTCTACTACAAGGGTGTTGCAAACCTGAACTATCAAAGGAAGGTTCAACTCTGTGAGTTGAATACAAACATCGCAAAGAATGTTCTGAGTTTGCTTCCATTCAGTTATGGGAAGTTGATCCCGTTTCCAACGAAATCCTCAGAGAGGTCCAAATATCCCCTTGCAGATTCTACAAAACGTGTGTTTGGAAACTGCTCCATCATAACGAATGTTCAGCTCCCTGAGTTAAACTCCATCGTCACAAAGAATTTTCTGAGAGTGCTACCGTCTGGTTTTTATATGAAGTTCTTTCCTTCACTACCACAGACCTCAAAGCGGTCCAAATCTCCACTTGCAGATTCTACAAAAAGAGTGTTTGCAAACTGCTCTATCAAAAGGAATGTTCAACTCTGGGAGTTGAATGCAATCATCACAGAGCAGTTTCTGAGAATGCTTCTATGTCGTTTTTAGGAGAAGATATTTCCTTTTCCAACACAGTCCTCCAAGCCCGCTAAATAGCCACTTGCACATTGTAGAAAAAGTGTGTCAAAGCTGCGCTATCAAAGGGAAAGTTCAACTCTGTGAGGTGAATGCAAACATCCCAAAGAAGTTTCTGAGAATGCTTCCGTTTAGCTTTTAGGTGAAGATTATCCCGTTTCCAACGAAAGCTTCAAAGAGGTCCAAATATCCCCTTGCGGATCCCACAGAAAGAGTGTTTCGAAACTGCTGTTTCAAAAGGAATCTTCAACTCTGTGAGTTGAATGCAATCATCACAAAGAAGTTTCTGACAATGCTTCTCTCTCGTCTTTCTGTGAACATAAAGGAAAAGGCGTTCAGGCCTTTGCCACCACAGGCCTGAAAGCGCTCCAAATGTCCACTTGCAGATTCTGCCAAAAGAATATTTCAAAACTGCTCTATGAAAAGCAATGTTAAACTCTGTGGCTCGAACACAAACATCACAAAGCGGTCTCTGAGAATGCTTCAGTTTAGTTTTTCTGTGGAAATATTCCCGTTTCCAAAGAAATCTTCAAAGAGGTCCACGTATCCACTTACAGATTCTACAAAAAGACAGTTTCAAAACTGCTCCATCAAAAGGAGGGTTCAACTGTGTGACTTGAATGCAATCATCACTCAGAAGTTTCTGAGAATGCTTCTCTTTAGTTTTTACGTGAACATATACCCGTTTCGAACGAAGGGCCACCCAGTGGTCCAAATATCCACTTGCAGATTATACAGAAAGAGTGTTTCGAACCTGAACTCTCAAAGGCAGGTTCATCTCTGCGAGTTAAATGCATTCATCATGAAGAACTTTCTCAGAGTGTTTGTGTTTAGTTATGGGAAATTATTCCCGTTTCCAACGAAATCCTCAGAGAGCTCCAAATATCCACCTGCAGATTCTACCAAAAGTGTATTTGGAAACTGCTCCATCAAAAGGCATGTTCAGCTCTGTGAGTGAAACTCCATCATCACAAAGAATATTCTGAGAATGCTTCCGTTTGCCTTTTATATGAAGTTCCTTCCTGTACTACCGTAGGCCTCAAAGCAGTCCAAATCTCCATTTGCAGATTCTATAAAAAGAGTGATTCCAATCTGCTCTATCAATAGGATTGTTCAACTCCATGAGTTGAATGCCATCCTCACAAAGTAGTTTCTGAGAATGCTTCTATCTGGTTTTTGTGTGAAGATATTTCCTTTTCCACCACAGGCCTCAAAGCCCTCCAAACGTCCACTTGCAGATTCTCGAAAAAGAGTGTTTCATAGCTGCTCTTTCAAAAGGAAAGTTCAACTCTGGGAGTTGAATACAAACATCACAAAGTAGTTTCCGAGAATGCTTCTGTTTAGTTTTTATGTGAAGATGATCCCGTTTCCAGTGAAATCTTCAAAGAGGTCCACATATCCCCTTGCAGATTCCAAAGAAAGAGGGTTTCAAAACTGCTCCATCAGAAGGATTGTTCAACTCTGTGAGTTGAATGCAGTCATCGCAGAAAACTTTCTGAGAATGCTTCTGTCTAGGTTTGATGTGAAGATATAGACGTTTCAAACGAAGGCTACAAAGTGGTCAAAATATACACTTGCAGATTCTACTACAAGGGTGTTGCAAACCTGAACTATCAAAGGAAGGTTCAACTCTGTGAGTTGAATACAAACATCACAAAGAATGTTCTGAGTTTGCTTCCGTTCAGTTATGGGAAGTTGATCCCGTTTCCAACGAAATCCTCAGAGAGGTCCAAATATCCCCTCGCAGATTCTACAAAACGTGTGTTTGGAAACTGCTCCATCATAACGAATGTTCAGCTCCCTGAGTTAAACTCCATCGTCACAAAGAATTTTCTGAGAGTGCTACCGTCTGGTTTTTATATGAAGTTCTTTCCTTCACTACCACAGGCCTCAAAGCGGTCCAAATCTCCACTTGCAGATTCTACAAAAAGAGTGTTTGCAAACTGCTCTATCAAAAGGAATGTTCAACTCTGGGAGTTGAATGCAATCATCACAGAGCAGTTTCTGAGAATGCTTCTATGTCGTTTTTAGGAGAAGATATTTCCTTTTCCAACACAGTCCTCCAAGCCCGCTAAATAGCCACTTGCACATTGTAGAAAAAGTGTGTCAAAGCTGCGCTATCAAAGGGAAAGTTCAACTCTGTGAGGTGAATGCAAACATCCCAAAGAAGTTTCTGAGAATGCTTCCGTTTAGCTTTTAGGTGAAGATTATCCCGTTTCCAACGAAACCTTCAAAGAGGTCCAAATATCCCCTTGCGGATCCCACAGAAAGAGTGTTTCGAAACTGCTGTTTCAAAAGGAATCTTCAACTCTGTGAGTTGAATGCAATCATCACAAAGAAGTTTCTGACAATGCTTCTCTCTCGTCTTTCTGTGAAGATAAAGGAAAAGGCTTTCAGGCCTTTTCCACCACAGGCCTGAAAGCGCTCCAAATGTCCACTTGCAGATTCTGCCAAAAGAATATTTCAAAACTGCTCTATGAAAAGCAATGTTAAACTCTGCGGCTCGAACACAAACATCACAAAGCGGTTTCTGAGAATGCTTCAGTTTAGTTTTTCTGTGGAAATATTCCCGTTTCCAAAGAAATCTTCAAAGAGGTCCACGTATCCACTTACAGATTCTACAAAAAGACAGTTTCAAAACTGCTCCATCAAAAGGAGGGTTCAACTGTGTGACTTCAATGCAATCATCACTCAGAAGTTTCTGAGAATGCTTCTCTTTAGTTTTTACGTGAACATATACCCGTTTCGAACGAAGGCCACCCAGTGGTCCAAATATCCACTTGCAGATTCTACAGAAAGAGTGTTTCGAACCTGAACTCTCAAAGGCAGGTTCATCTCTGCGAGTTAAATGCATTCATCATGAAGAACTTTCTCAGCGTGTTTCCGTTTGCCTTTTATATGAAGTTCCTTCCTATACTACCGTAGGCCTCAAAGCAGTCCAAATCTCCATTTGCAGATTCTACAAAAAGAGTGATTCCAATCTGCTCTATCAATAGGACTGTTCAACTCCATGAGTTGAATGCCATCCTCACAAAGTCGTTTCTGAGAATGCTTCTATCTAGTTTTTATGTGAAGATATTTCCTTTTCCACCACAGGCCTCAAAGCCCTCCAAACGTCCACTTGCAGATTCTCGAAAAAGAGTGTTTCATACCTGCTCTTTCAAAAGGAAAGTTCAACTCTGGGAGTTGAATACAAACATCACAAAGTAGTTTCCGAGAATGCTTCTGTTTAGTTCTTATGTGAAGATGATCCCGTTTCCAGTGAAATCTTCAAAGAGGTCCACATATCCCCTTGCAGATTCCAAAGAAAGAGGGTTTCAAAACTGCTCCATCAAAAGGATTGTTCAACTCTGTGAGTTGAATGCAGTCATCGCAGAAAACTTTCTGAGAATGCTTCTGTCTAGGTTTGATGTGAAGATATAGACGTTTCAAACGAAGGCTACAAAGTGGTCAAAATATACACTTGCAGATTCTACTACAAGGGTGATGCAAACCTCAACTATCAAAGGAAGGTTCAACTCTGTGAGATGAATGCAACCATCACAAAAAATGTTCTGAGTTTGCTTCCGTTTAGTTATGGGAAATTGATACCGTTTCCAACGAAATCCTCAGAGAGGTCCAAATATCCCCTTGCAGATTCTACAAAACGTGTGTTTGGAAACTGCTCCATCATAACGAATGTTCAGCTCTCTGAGTTAAACTCCATCGTCACAAAGAATTTTCTGAGAGTGCTACCGTCTGGTTTTTATATGAAGTTCTTTCCTTTACTACCGCAGGCCTCAAAGCGGTCCAAATCTCCACTTGCAGATTCTACAAAAAGAGTGTTTGCAAACTGCTCTATCAAAAGGAATGTTCAACTCTGGGAGTTGAATGCAATCATCACAGCGCAGTTTCTGAGAATGCTTCTCTCTCGTCTTTCTGTGAAGATAAAGGAAAAGGCTTTCAGGCCTTTTCCACCACAGGCCTGAAAGCGCTCCAAATGTCCACTTGCAGATTCTGCCAAAAGAATATTTCAAAACTGCTCTATGAAAAGCAGTGTTAAACTCTGTGGCTCGAACACAAACATCACAAAGCAGTTTCTGAGAATGCTTCAGTTTAGTTTTTCTGTGGAAATATTCCCGTTTCCAAAGAAATCTTCAAAGAGGTCCACGTATCCACTTACAGATTCTACAAAAAGACAGTTTCAAAACTGCTCCATCAAAAGGAGGGTTCAACTGTGTGACTTGAATGTAATCATCACTCAGAAGTTTCTGAGAATGCTTCTCTTTAGTTTTTACGTGAACATATACGCGTTTCGAACGAAGGCCACCCAGTGGTCCAAATATCCACTTGCAGATTCTACAGAAAGAGTGTTTCGAACCTGAACTCTCAAAGGCAGGTTCATCTCTGCGAGTTAAATGCATTCATCATGAAGAACTTTCTCAGAGTGTTTGTGTTTAGTTATGGGAAATTATTCCCGTTTCCAACGAAATCCTCAGAGAGCTCCAAATATCCACCTGCAGATTCTACCAAAAGTGTATTTGGAAACTGCTCCATCAAAAGGCATGTTCAGCTCTGTGAGTGAAACTCCATCATCACAAAGAATATTCTGAGAATGCTTCCGTTTGCCTTTTATATGAAGTTCCTTCCTGTACTACCGTAGGCCTCAAAGCAGTCCAAATCTCCATTTGCAGATTCTATAAAAAGAGTGATTCCAATCTGCTCTATCAATAGGATTGTTCAACTCCATGAGTTGAATGCCATCCTCACAAAGTAGTTTACTGAGAATGCTTCTATCTGGTTTTTGTGTGAAGATATTTCCTTTTCCACCACAGGCCTCAAAGCCCTCCAAACGTCCACTTGCAGATTCTAGAAAAAGAGTGTTTCATAGCTGCTCTTTCAAAAGGAAATTTCAACTCTGGGAGTTGAATACAAACATCACAAAATAGTTTCCGAGAATGCTTCTGTTTAGTTTTTATGTGAAGATGATCCCGTTTCCAGTGAAATCTTCAAAGAGGTCCACATATCCTCTTGCAGATTCCAAAGAAAGAGGGTTTCAAAACTGCTCCATCAAAAGGATTGTTCAACTCTGTGAGTTGAATGCAGTCATCGCAGAAAACTTTCTGAGAATGCTTCTGTCTAGGTTTGATGTGAAGATATAGATGTTTCAAACGAAGGCTACAAAGTGGTCAAAATATACACTTGCAGATTCTACTACAAGGGTGTTGCAAACCTGAACTATCAAAGGAAGGTTCAACTCTGTGAGTTGAATACAAACATCACAAAGAATGTTCTGAGTTTGCTTCCGTTCAGTTATGGGAAGTTGATCCCGTTTCCAACGAAATCCTCAGAGAGGTCCAAATATCCCCTTGCAGATTCTACAAAACGTGTGTTTGGAAACTGCTCCATCATAACGAATGTTCAGCTCCCTGAGTTAAACTCCATCGTCACAAAGAATTTTCTGAGAGTGCTACCGTCTGGTTTTTATATGAAGTTCTTTCCTTCACTACCACAGGCCTCAAAGCGGTCCAAATCTCCACTTGCAGATTCTACAAAAAGAGTGTTTGCAAACTGCTCTATCAAAAGGAATGTTCAACTCTGGGAGTTGAATGCAATCATCACAGAGCAGTTTCTGAGAATGCTTCTATGTCGTTTTTAGGAGAAGATATTTCCTTTTCCAACACAGTCCTCCAAGCCCGCTAAATAGCCACTTGCACATTGTAGAAAAAGTGTGTCAAAGCTGCGCTATCAAAGGGAAAGTTCAACTCTGTGAGGTGAATGCAAACATCCCAAAGAAGTTTCTGAGAATGCTTCCGTTTAGCTTTTAGGTGAAGATTATCCCGTTTCCAACGAAACCTTCAAAGAGGTCCAAATATCCCCTTGCGGATCCCACAGAAAGAGTGTTTCGAAACTGCTGTTTCAAAAGGAATCTTCAACTCTGTGAGTTGAATGCAATCATCACAAAGAAGTTTCTGACAATGCTTCTCTCTCGTCTTTCTGTGAAGATAAAGGAAAAGGCTTTCAGGCCTTTTCCACCACAGGCCTGAAAGCGCTCCAAATGTCCACTTGCAGATTCTGCGAAAAGAATATTTCAAAACTGCTCTATGAAAAGCAATGGTAAACTCTGTGGCTCGAACACAAACATCACAAAGCGGTTTCTGAGAATGCTTCAGTTTAGTTTTTCTGTGGAAATATTCCCGTTTCCAAAGAAATCTTCAAAGAGGTCCACGTATCCACTTACAGATTCTACAAAAAGACAGTTTCAAAACTGCTCCATCAAAAGGAGGGTTCAACTGTGTGACTTGAATGCAATCATCACTCAGAAGTTTCTGAGAATGCTTCTCTTTAGTTTTTACGTGAACATATACCCGTTTCGAACGAAGGCCACCCAGTGGTCCAAATATCCACTTGCAGATTATACAGAAAGAGTGTTTCGAACCTGAACTCTCAAAGGCAGGTTCATCTCTGCGAGTTAAATGCATTCATCATGAAGAACTTTCTCAGAGTGTTTGTGTTTAGTTATGGGAAATTATTCCCGTTTCCAACGAAATCCTCAGAGTGGTCCAAATATCCACCTGCAGATTCTACCAAAAGTGTATTTGGAAACTGCTCCATCAAAAGGCATGTTCAGCTCTGTGAGTGAAATTCCATCATCACAAAGAATATTCTGAGAATGCTTCCGTTTGCCTTTTATCTGAAGTTCCTTCCTATACGACCGTAGGCCTCAAAGCAGTCCAAATCTCCATTTGCAGATTCTACAAAAAGAGTGATTCCAATCTGCTCTATCAATAGGATTGTTCAACTCCATGAGTTGAATGCCATCCTCACAAAGTAGTTTCTGAGAATGCTTCTATCTAGTTTTTATGTGAAGGTATTTCCTTTTCCACCACAGGCCTCCAAGCCCTCCAAACGTCCACTTGCAGATTCTCGAAAAAGAGTGTTTCATAGCTGCTCTTTCAAAAGGAAAGTTCAACTCTGGGAGTTGAATACAAACATCACAAAGTAGTTTCCGAGAATGCTTCTGTTTAGTTTTTATGTGAAGATGATCCCGTTTCCAGTGAAATCTTCAAAGAGGTCCACATATCCCCTTGCAGATTCCAAAGAAAGAGGGTTTCAAAACTGCTCCATCAGAAGGATTGTTCAACTCTGTGAGTTGAATGCAGTCATCGCAGAAAACTTTCTGAGAATGCTTCTGTCTAGGTTTGATGTGAAGATATAGACGTTTCAAACGAAGGCTACAAAGTGGTCAAAATATACACTTGCAGAATGTACTACAAGGGTGTTGCAAACCTGAACTATCAAAGGAAGGTTCAACTCTGTGGGTTGAATACAAACATCGCAGAGAATGTTCTGAGTTTGCTTCCGTTCAGTTATGGGAAGTTGATCCCGTTTCCAACGAAATCCTCAGAGAGGACCAAATATCCCCTTGCAGATTCTACAAAACGTGTGTTTGGAAACTGCTCCATCATAACGAATGTTCAGCTCCCTGAGTTAAACTCCATCGTCACAAAGTGTTTTCTGAGAGTGCTACCGTCCAGTTTTTATATGAAGTTCTTTCCTTTACTACCAGAAGCCTCAAAGCGGTCCAAATCTCCACTTGCAGATTCTACAAAAAGAGTGTTTGCAAACCGCTCTATCAAAAGGAATGTTCAACTCTGGGAGTTGAATGCAATCATCACAGAGCAGTTTCTGAGAATGCTTCTATGTCGTTTTTAGGAGAAGATATTTCCTTTTCCAACACAGTCCTCCAAACCCGCTAAATATCCACTTGCACATTGTAGAGAAATGTGTCGAAGCTGCGCTATCAAAGGGAAAGTTCAACTCTGTGAGGTGAATGCAAACATCCCAAAGAAATTTCTGAGAATGCTTCCGTTCAGCTTTTAGGTGAAGATTATCCCGTTTCCAACGAAATCTTCAAAGAGGTCCAAATATCCCCTTGCAGATCCCACAGAAAGAGTGTTTCGAAACTGCTGTTTCAAAAGGAATCTTCAACTCTGTGAGTTGAATGCAATCATCACAAAGAAGTTTCTGACAATGCTTCTCCCTCGTCTTTCTGTGAAGATAAAGGAAAAGGCTTTCAGGCCTTTTCCACCACAGGCCTGAAAGTGCTCCAAATGTCCACTTGCAGATTCTGCCAAAAGAATATTTCAAAACTGCTCTATGAAAAGCAATGTTAAACTCTGCGGCTCGAACACAAACATCACAAAGCAGTTTCTGAGAATGCTTCAGTTTAGTTTTTCTGTGGAAATATTCCCGTTTCCAAAGAAATCTTCAAAGAGGTCCACGTATCCACTTACAGATTCTACAAAAAGACAGTTTCAAAACTGCTCAATCAAAAGGAGGGTTCAACTGTGTGACTTGAATGCAATCATCACTCAGAAGTTTCTGAGAATGCTTCTCTTTAGTTTTTACGTGAACATATACCCGTTTCGAACGAAGGCCACCCAGTGGTCCAAATATCCACTTGCAGATTCTACAGAAAGAGTGTTTCGAACCTGAACTCTCAAAGGCAGGTTCATCTCTGCGAGTTAAATGCATTCATCATGAAGAACTTTCTCAGAGTGTTTGTGTTTAGTTATGGGAAATTATTCCCGTTTCCAACGAAATCCTCAGAGAGCTCCAAATATCCACCTGCAGATTCTACCAAAAGTGTATTTGGAAACTGCTCCATCAAAAGGCATGTTCAGCTCTGTGAGTGAAACTCCATCATCACAAAGAATATTCTGAGAATGCTTCCGTTTGCCTTTTATATGAAGTTCCTTCCTGTACTACCGTAGGCCTCAAAGCAGTCCAAATCTCCATTTGCAGATTCTATAAAAAGAGTGATTCCAATCTGCTCTATCAATAGGATTGTTCAACTCCATGAGTTGAATGCCATCCTCACAAAGTAGTTTCTGAGAATGCTTCTATCTGGTTTTTGTGTGAAGATATTTCCTTTTCCACCACAGGCCTCAAAGCCCTCCAAACGTCCACTTGCAGATTCTCGAAAAAGAGTGTTTCATAGCTGCTCTTTCAAAAGGAAAGTTCAACTCTGGGAGTTGAATACAAACATCACAAAGTAGTTTCCGAGAATGCTTCTGTTTAGTTTTTATGTGAAGATGATCCCGTTTCCAGTGAAATCTTCAAAGAGGTCCACATATCCCCTTGCAGATTCCAAAGAAAGAGGGTTTCAAAACTGCTCCATCAGAAGGATTGTTCAACTCTGTGAGTTGAATGCAGTCATCGCAGAAAACTTTCTGAGAAAGCTTCTGTCTAGGTTTGATGTGAAGATATAGACGTTTCAAACGAAGGCTACAAAGTGGTCAAAATATACACTTGCAGATTCTACTACAAGGGTGTTGCAAACCTGAACTATCAAAGGAAGGTTCAACTCTGTGAGTTGAATACAAACATCACAAAGAATGTTCTGAGTTTGCTTCCGTTCAGTTATGGGAAGTTGATCCCGTTTCCAAAGAAATCCTCAGAGAGGTCCAAATATCCCCTCGCAGATTCTACAAAACGTGTGTTTGGAAACTGCTCCATCATAACGAATGTTCAGCTCCCTGAGTTAAACTCCATCGTCACAAAGAATTTTCTGAGAGTGCTACCGTCTGGTTTTTATATGAAGTTCTTTCCTTCACTACCACAGGCCTCAAAGCGGTCCAAATCTCCACTTGCAGATTCTACAAAAAGAGTGTTTGCAAACTGCTCTATCAAAAGGAATGTTCAACTCTGGGAGTTGAATGCAATCATCACAGAGCAGTTTCTGAGAATGCTTCTATGTCGTTTTTAGGAGAAGATATTTCCTTTTCCAACACAGTCCTCCAAGCCCGCTAAATAGCCACTTGCACATTGTAGAAAAAGTGTGTCAAAGCTGCGCTATCAAAGGGAAAGTTCAACTCTGTGAGGTGAATGCAAACATCCCAAAGAAGTTTCTGAGAATGCTTCCGTTTAGCTTTTAGGTGAAGATTATCCCGTTTCCAACGAAACCTTCAAAGAGGTCCAAATATCCCCTTGCGGATCCCACAGAAAGAGTGTTTCGAAACTGCTGTTTCAAAAGGAATCTTCAACTCTGTGAGTTGAATGCAATCATCACAAAGAAGTTTCTGACAATGCTTCTCTCTCGTCTTTCTGTGAAGATAAAGGAAAAGGCTTTCAGGCCTTTTCCACCACAGGCCTGAAAGCGCTCCAAATGTCCACTTGCAGATTCTGCCAAAAGAATATTTCAAAACTGCTCTATGAAAAGCAATGTTAAACTCTGTGGCTGGAACACAAACATCACAAAGTGGTTTCTGAGAATGTTTCAGTTTAGTTTTTCTGTGGAAATATTCCCGTTTCCAAAGAAATCTTCAAAGAGGTCCACGTATCCACTTACAGATTCTACAAAAAGACAGTTTCAAAACTGCTCCATCAAAAGGAGGGTTCAACTGTGTGACTTGAATGCAATCATCACTCAGAAGTTTCTGAGAATGCTTCTCTTTAGTTTTTACGTGAACATATACCCGTTTCGAACGAAGGCCACCCAGTGGTCCAAATATCCACTTGCAGATTCTACAGAAAGAGTGTTTCGAACCTGAACTCTCAAAGGCAGGTTCATCTCTGCGAGTTAAATGCATTCATCATGAAGAACTTTCTCAGAGTGTTTGTGTTTAGTTATGGGAAATTATTCCCGTTTCCAACGAAATCCTCAGAGAGCTCCAAATATCCACCTGCAGATTCTACCAAAAGTGTATTTGGAAACTGCTCCATCAAAAGGCATGTTCAGCTCTGTGAGTGAAACTCCATCATCACAAAGAATATTCTGAGAATGCTTCCGTTTGCCTTTTATATGAAGTTCCTTCCTATACTACCGTAGGCCTCAAAGCAGTCCAAATCTCCATTTGCAGATTCTACAAAAAGAGTGATTCCAATCTGCTCTATCAATAGGATTGTTCAACTCCATGAGTTGAATGCCATCCTCACAATGTCGTTTCTGAGAATGCTTCTATCTAGTTTTTATGTGAAGATATTTCCTTTTCCACCACAGGCCTCAAAGCCCTCCAAACGTCCACTTGCAGATTCTCGAAAAAGAGTGTTTCATAGCTGCTCTTTCAAAAGGAAAGTTCAACTCTGGGAGTTGAATACAAACATCACAAAGTAGTTTCCGAGAATGCTTCTGTTTAGTTTTTATGTGAAGATGATCCCGTTTCCAGTGAAATCTTCAAAGAGGTCCACATATTCCCTTGCAGATTCCAAAGAAAGAGGGTTTCAAAACTGCTCCATCAGAAGGATTGTTCAACTCTGTGAGTTGAATGCAGTCATCGCAGAAAACTTTCTGAGAATGCTTCTGTCTAGGTTTGATGTGAAGATATAGACGTTTCAAACGAAGGCTACAAAGTGGTCAAAATATACACTTGCAGATTCTACTACAAGGGTGTTGCAAACCTGAACTATCAAAGGAAGGTTCAACTCTGTGAGTTGAATTCAAACATCACAAAGAATGTTCTGAGTTTGCTTCCGTTCAGTTATGGGAAGTTGATCCCGTTTCCAACGAAATCCTCAGAGAGGTCCAAATATCCCCTCGCAGATTCTACAAAACGTGTGTTTGGAAACTGCTCCATCATAACGAATGTTCAGCTCCCTGAGTTAAACTACATCGTCACAAAGAATTTTCTGAGAGTGCTACCGTCTGGTTTTTATATGAAGTTCTTTCCTTCACTACCACAGGCCTCAAAGCGGTCTAAATCTCCACTTGCAGATTCTACAAAAAGAGTGTTTGCAAACTGCTCTATCAAAAGGAATGTTCAACTCTGGGAGTTGAATGCAATCATCACAGAGCAGTTTCTGAGAATGCTTCTATGTCGTTTTTAGGAGAAGATATTTCCTTTTCCAACACAGTCCTCCAAGCCCGCTAAATAGCCACTTGCACATTGTAGAAAAAGTGTGTCAAAGCTGCGCTATCAAAGGGAAAGTTCAACTCTGTGAGGTGAATGCAAACATCCCAAAGAAGTTTCTGAGAATGCTTCCGTTTAGCTTTTAGGTGAAGATTATCCCGTTTCCAACGAAACCTTCAAAGAGGTCCAAATATCCCCTTGCGGATCCCACAGAAAGAGTGTTTCGAAACTGCTGTTTCAAAAGGAATCTTCAACTCTGTGAGTTGAATGCAATCATCAAAAAGAAGTTTCTGACAATGCTTCTCTCTCGTCTTTCTGTGAAGATAAAGGAAAAGGCTTTCAGGCCTTTTCCACCACAGGCCTGAAAGCGCTCCAAATGTCCACTTGCAGATTCTGCGAAAAGAATATTTCAAAACTGCTCTATGAAAAGCAATGTTAAACTCTGTGGCTCGAACACAAACATCACAAAGCAGTTTCTGAGAATGATTCAGTTTAGTTTTTCTGTGGAAATATTCCCGTTTCCAAAGAAATCTTCAAAGAGGTCCACGTATCCACTTACAGATTCTACAAAAAGACAGTTTCAAAACTGCTCCATCAAAAGGAGGGTTCAACTGTGTGACTTGAATGCAATCATCACTCAGAAGTTTCTGAGAATGCTTCTCTTTAGTTTTTACGTGAACATATACCCGTTTCGAACGAAGGCCACCCAGTGGTCCAAATATCCACTTGCAGATTCTACAGAAAGAGTGTTTCGAACATGAACTCTCAAAGGCAGGTTCATCTCTGCGAGTTAAATGCATTCATCATGAAGAACTTTCTCAGAGTGTTTGTGTTTAGTTATGGGAAATTATTCCCGTTTCCAACGAAATCCTCAGAGAGCTCCAAATATCCACCTGCAGATTCTACCAAAAGTGTATTTGGAAACTGCTCCATCAAAAGGCATGTTCCGCTCTGTGAGTGAAACTCCATCATCACAAAGAATATTCTGAGAATGCTTCCGTTTGCCTTTTATATGAAGTTCCTTCCTATACGACCGTAGGCCTCAAAGCAGTCCAAATCTCCATTTGCAGATTCTACAAAAAGAGTGATTCCAATCTGCTCTATCAATAGGATTGTTCAACTCCATGAGTTGAATGCCATCCTCACAAAGTCGTTTCTGAGAATGCTTCTATCTAGTTTTTATGTGAAGATATTTCCTTTTCCACCACAGGCCTCAAAGCCTTCCAAACGTCCACTTGCAGATTCTCGAAAAAGAGTGTTTCATAGCTGCTCTTTCAAAAGGAAAGTTCAACTCTGGGAGTTGAATACAAACATCACAAAGTAGTTTCCGAGAATGCTTCTGTTTAGTTTTTATGTGAAGATGATCCCGTTTCCAGTGAAATCTTCAAAGAGGTCCACATATCCCCTTGCAGATTCCAAAGAAAGAGGGTTTCAAAACTGCTCCATCAGAAGGATTGTTCAACTCTGTGAGTTGAATGCAGTCATCGCAGAAAACTTTCTGAGAATGCTTCTGTCTAGGTTTGATGTGAAGATATAGACGTTTCAAACGAAGGCTACAAAGTGGTCAAAATATACACTTGCAGATTCTACTACAAGGGTGTTGCAAACCTGAACTATCAAAGGAAGGTTCAACTCTGTGAGTTGAATACAAACATCACAAAGAATGTTCTGAGTTTGCTTCCGTTCAGTTATGGGAAGTTGATCCCGTTTCCAACGAAATCCTCAGAGAGGTCCAAATATCCCCTTGCAGATTCTACAAAACGTGTGTTTGGAAACTGCTCCATCATAACGAATGTTCAGCTCCCTGAGTTAAACTCCATCGTCACAAAGAATTTTCTGAGAGTGCTACCGTCTGGTTTTTATATGAAGTTCTTTCCTTCACTACCACAGGCCTCAAAGCGGTCCAAATCTCCACTTGCAGATTCTACAAAAAGAGTGTTTGCAAACTGCTCTATCAAAAGGAATGTTCAACTCTGGGAGTTGAATGCAATCATCACAGAGCAGTTTCTGAGAATGCTTCTATGTCGTTTTTAGGAGAAGATATTTCCTTTTCCAACACAGTCCTCCTAGCCCGCTAAATATCCACTTGCACATTGTAGAAAAAGTGTGTCAAAGCTGCGCTATCAAAGGGAAAGTTCAACTCTGTGAGGTGAATGCAAACATCCCAAAGAAGTTTCTGAGAATGCTTCCGTTTAGCTTTTAGGTGAAGATTATCCCGTTTCCAACGAAACCTTCAAAGAGGTCCAAATATCCCCTTGCGGATCCCACAGAAAGAGTGTTTCGAAACTGCTGTTTCAAAAGGAATCTTCAACTCTGTGAGTTGAATGCAATCATCACAAAGAAGTTTCTGACAATGCTTCTCTCTCGTCTTTCTGTGAAGATAAAGGAAAAGGCTTTCAGGCCTTTTCCACCACAGGCCTGAAAGCGCTCCAAATGTCCACTTGCAGATTCTGCGAAAAGAATATTTCAAAACTGCTCTATGAAACGCAATGTTAAACTCTGTGGCTCGAACACAAACATCACAAAGCAGTTTCTGAGAATGATTCAGTTTAGTTTTTCTGTGGAAATATTCCCGTTTCCAAAGAAATCTTCAAAGAGGTCCACGTATCCACTTACAGATTCTACAAAAAGACAGTTTCAAAACTGCTCCATCAAAAGGAGGGTTCAACTGTGTGACTTGAATGCAATCATCACTCAGAAGTTTCTGAGAATGCTTCTCTTTAGTTTTTACGTGAACATATACCCGTTTCGATCGAAGGCCACCCAGTGGTCCAAATATCCACTTGCAGATTATACAGAAAGAGTGTTTCGAACCTGAACTCTCAAAGGCAGGTTCATCTCTGCGAGTTAAATGCATTCATCATGAAGAACTTTCTCAGAGTGTTTGTGTTTAGTTATGGGAAATTATTCCCGTTTCCAACGAAATCCTCAGAGAGCTCCAAATATCCACCTGCAGATTCTACCAAAAGTGTATTTGGAAACTGCTCCATCAAAAGGCATGTTCAGCTCTGTGAGTGAAACTCCATCATCACAAAGAATATTCTGAGAATGCTTCCGTTTGCCTTTTATATGAAGTTCCTTCCTATACGACCGTAGGCCTCAAAGCAGTCCAAATCTCCATTTGCAGATTCTACAAAAAGAGTGATTCCAATCTGCTCTATCAATAGGATTGTTCAACTCCATGAGTTGAATGCCATCCTCACAAAGTAGTTTCTGAGAATGCTTCTATCTGGTTTTTGTGTGAAGATATTTCCTTTTCCACCACAGGCCTCAAAGCCCTCCAAACGTCCACTTGCAGATTCTCGAAAAAGAGTGTTTCATAGCTGCTCTTTCAAAAGGAAAGTTCAACTCTGGGAGTTGAATACAAACATAACAAAGTAGTTTCCGAGAATGCTTCTGTTTAGTTTTTATGTGAAGATGATCCCGTTTCCAGTGAAATCTTCAAAGAGGTCCACATATCCCCTTGCAGATTCCAAAGAAAGAGGGTTTCAAAACTGCTCCATCAGAAGGATTGTTCAACTCTGTGAGTTGAATGCAGTCATCGCAGAAAACTTTCTGAGAATGCTTCTGTCTAGGTTTGATGTGAAGATATAGACGTTTCAAACGAAGGCTACAAAGTGGTCAAAATATACACTTGCAGATTCTACTACAAGGGTGTTGCAAACCTGAACTATCAAAGGATGGTTCAACTCTGTGAGTTGAATACAAACATCACAAAGAATGTTCTGAGTTTGCTTCCGTTCAGTTATGGGAAGTTGATCCAGTTTCCAACGAAATCCTCAGAGAGGTCCAAATATCCCCTCGCAGATTCTACAAAACGTGTGTTTGGAAACTGCTCCATCATAACGAATGTTCAGCTCCCTGAGTTAAACTCCATCGTCACAAAGAATTTTCTGAGAGTGCTACCGTCTGGTTTTTATATGAAGTTCTTTCCTTCACTACCACAGGCCTCAAAGCGGTCCAAATCTCCACTTGCAGATTCTACAAAAAGAGTGTTTGCAAACTGCTCTATCAAAAGGAATGTTCAACTCTGGGAGTTGAATGCAATCATCACAGAGCAGTTTCTGAGAATGCTTCTATGTCGTTTTTAGGAGAAGATATTTCCTTTTCCAACACAGTCCTCCAAGCCCGCTAAATAGCCACTTGCACATTGTAGAAAAAGTGTGTCAAAGCTGCGCTATCAAAGGGAAAGTTCAACTCTGTGAGGTGAATGCAAACATCCCAAAGAAGTTTCTGAGAATGCTTCCGTTTAGCTTTTAGGTGAAGATTATCCCGTTTCCAACGAAACCTTCAAAGAGGTCCAAATATCCCCTTGGGGATCCCACAGAAAGAGTGTTTCGAAACAGCTGTTTCAAAAGGAATCTTCAACTCTGTGAGTTGAATGCAATCATCACAAAGAAGTTTCTGACAATGCTTCTCTCTCGTCTTTCTGTGAAGATAAAGGAAAAGGCTTTCAGGCCTTTTCCACCACAGGCCTGAAAGCGCTCCAAATGTCCACTTGCAGATTCTGCGAAAAGAATATTTCAAAACTGCTCTATGAAAAGCAATGTTAAACTCTGTGGCTCGAACACAAACATCACAAAGCAGTTTCTGAGAATGCTTCAGTTTAGTTTTTCTGTGGAAATATTCCCGTTTCCAAAGAAATCTTCAAAGAGGTCCACGTATCCACTTACAGATTCTACAAAAAGACAGTTTCAAAACTGCTCCATCAAAAGGAGGGTTCAACTGTGTGACTTGAATGCAATCATCACTCAGAAGTTTCTGAGAATGCTTCTCTTTAGTTTTTACGTGAACATATACCCGTTTCGAACGAAGGCCAGCCAGTGGTCCAAATATCAACTTGCAGATTCTACAGAAAGAGTGTTTCGAACCTGAACTCTCAAAGGCAGGTTCATCTCTGCGAGTTAAATGCATTCATCATGAAGAACTTTCTCAGAGTGTTTGTGTTTAGTTATGGGAAATTATTCCCGTTTCCAACGAAATCCTCAGAGAGCTCCAAATATCCACCTGCAGATTCTACCAAAAGTGTATTTGGAAACTGCTCCATCAAAAGGCATGTTCAGCTCTGTCAGTGAAACTCCATCATCACAAAGAATATTCTGAGAATGCTTCCGTTTGCCTTTTATATGAAGTTCCTTCCTGTACTACCGTAGGCCTCAAAGCAGTCCAAATCTCCATTTGCAGATTCTACAAAAAGAGTGATTCCAATCTGCTCTATCAATAGGATTGTTCAACTCCATGAGTTGAATGCCATCCTCACAAAGTAGTTTCTGAGAATGCTTCTATCTGGTTTTTGTGTGAAGATATTTCCTTTTCCACCACAGGCCTCAAAGCCCTCCAAACGTCCACTTGCAGATTCTCGAAAAAGAGTGTTTCATAGCTGCTCTTTCAAAAGGAAAGTTCAACTCTGGGAGTTGAATACAAACATCACAAAATAGTTTCCGAGAATGCTTCAGTTTAGTTTTTATGTGAAGATGATCCCGTTTCCAGTGAAATCTTCAAAGAGGTCCACATATCCCCTTGCAGATTCCAAAGAAAGAGGGTTTCAAAACTGCTCCATCAGAAGGATTGTTCAACTCTGTGAGTTGAATGCAGTCATCGCAGAAAACTTTCTGAGAATGCTTCTGTCTAGGTTTGATGTGAAGATATAGACGTTTCAAACGAAGGCTACAAAGTGGTCAAAATATACACTTGCAGATTCTACTACAAGGGTGTTGCAAACCTGAACTATCAAAGGAAGGTTCAACTCTGTGAGTTGAATACAAACATCACAAAGAATGTTCTGAGTTTGCTTCCGTTCAGTTATGGGAAGTTGATCCCGTTTCCAACGAAATCCTCAGAGAGGTCCAAATATCCCCTCGCAGATTCTACAAAACATGTGTTTGGAAACTGCTCCATCATAACGAATGTTCAGCTCCCTGAGTTAAACTCCATCGTCACAAAGAATTTTCTGAGAGTGCTACCGTCTGGTTTTTATATGAAGTTCTTTCCTTCACTACCACAGGCCTCAAAGCGGTCCAAATCTCCACTTGCAGATTCTACAAAAAGAGTGTTTGCAAACTGCTCTATCAAAAGGAATGTTCAACTCTGGGAGTTGAATGCAATCATCACAGAGCAGTTTCTGAGAATGCTTCTATGTCGTTTTTAGGAGAAGATATTTCCTTTTCCAACACAGTCCTCCAAGCCCGCTAAATAGCCACTTGCACATTGTAGAAAAAGTGTGTCAAAGCTGCGCTATCAAAGGGAAAGTTCAACTCTGTGAGGTGAATGCAAACATCCCAAAGAAGTTTCAGAGAATGCTTCCGTTTAGCTTTTAGGTGAAGATTATCCCGTTTCCAACGAAACCTTCAAAGAGGTCCAAATATCCCCTTGCGGATCCCACAGAAAGAGTGTTTCGAAACTGCTGTTTCAAAAGGAATCTTCAACTCTGTGAGTTGAATGCAATCATCACAAAGAAGTTTCTGACAATGCTTCTCTCTCGTCTTTCTGTGAAGATAAAGGAAAAGGCTTTCAGGCCTTTTCCACCACAGGCCTGAAAGCGCTCCAAATGTCCACTTGCAGATTCTGCGAAAAGAATATTTCAAAACTGCTCTATGAAAAGCAATGTTAAACTCTGTGGCTGGAACACAAACATCACAAAGCGGTTTCTGAGAATGCTTCAGTTTAGTTTTTCTGTGGAAATATTCCCGTTTCCAAAGAAATCTTCAAAGAGGTCCACGTATCCACTTACAGATTCTACAAAAAGACAGTTTCAAAACTGCTCCATCAAAAGGAGGGTTCAACTGTGTGACTTGAATGCAATCATCACTCAGAAGTTTCTGAGAATGCTTCTCTTTAGTTTTTACGTGAACATATACCCGTTTCGAACGAAGGCCACCCAGTGGTCCAAATATCCACTTGCAGATTCTACATAAAGAGTGTTTCGAACCTGAACTCTCAAAGGCAGGTTCATCTCTGCGAGTTAAATGCATTCATCATGAAGAACTTTCTCAGCGTGTTTGTGTTTAGTTATGGGAAATTATTCCCGTTTCCAAAGAAATCCTCAAAGAGCTCCAAATATCCACCTGCAGATTCTACCAAAAGTGTATTTGGAAACTGCTCCATCAAAAGGCATGTTCAGCTCTGTGAGTGAAACTCCATCATCACAAAGAATATTCTGAGAATGCTTCCGTTTGCCTTTTATATGAAGTTCCTTCCTATACGACCGTAGGCCTCAAAGCAGTCCAAATCTCCATTTGCAGATTCTACAAAAAGAGTGATTCCAATCTGCTCTATCAATAGGATTGTTCAACTCCATGAGTTGAATGCCATCCTCACAAAGTAGTTTCTGAGAATGCTTCTATCTAGTTTTTATGTGAAGATATTTCCTTTTCCACCACAGGCCTCAAAGCCCTCCAAACGTCCACTTGCAGATTCTCGAAAAAGAGTGTTTCATAGCTGCTCTTTCAAAAGGAAAGTTCAACTCTGGCAGTTGAATACAAACATCACAAAGTAGTTTCCGAGAATGCTTCTGTTTAGTTTTTATGTGAAGATGATCCCGTTTCCAGTGAAATCTTCAAAGAGGTCCACATATCCCCTTGCAGATTCCAAAGAAAGAGGGTTTCAAAACTGCTCCATCAGAAGGATTGTTCAACTCTGTGAGTTGAATGCAGTCATCGCAGAAAACTTTCTGAGAATGCTTCTGTCTAGGTTTGATGTGAAGATATAGACGTTTCAAACGAAGGCTACAAAGTGGTCAAAATATACACTTGCAGATTCTACTACAAGGGTGTTGCAAACCTGAACTATCAAAGGAAGGTTCAACTCTGTGAGTTGAATACAAACATCACAAAGAATGTTCTGAGTTTGCTTCCGTTCAGTTATGGGAAGTTGATCCCGTTTCCAACGAAATCCTCAGAGAGGTCCAAATATCCCCTTGCAGATTCTACAAAACGTGTGTTTGGAAACTGCTCCATCATAACGAATGTTCAGCTCCCTGAGTTAAACTCCATCGTCACAAAGAATTTTCTGAGAGTGCTACCGTCTGGTTTTTATATGAAGTTCTTTCCTTCACTACCACTGGCCTCAAAGCGGTCCAAATCTCCACTTGCAGATTCTACAAAAAGAGTGTTTGCAAACTGCTCTATCAAAAGGAATGTTCAACTCTGGGAGTTGAATGCAATCATCACAGAGCAGTTTCTGAGAATGCTTCTATGTCGTTTTTAGGAGAAGATATTTCCTTTTCCAACACAGTCCTCCAAGTCCGCTAAATAGCCACTTGCACATTGTAGAAAAAGTGTGTCAAAGCTGCGCTATCAAAGGGAAAGTTCAACTCTGAGAGGTGAATGCAAACATCCCAAAGAAGTTTCTGAGAGTGCTTCCGTTTAGCTTTTAGGTGAAGATTATCCCGTTTCCAACGAAACCTTCAAAGAAGTCCAAATATCCCCTTGCGGATCCCACAGAAAGAGTGTTTCGAAACTGCTGTTTCAAAAGGAATCTTCAACTCTGTGAGTTGAATGCAATCATCACAAAGAAGTTTCTGACAATGCTTCTCTCTCGTCTTTCTGTGAAGATAAATAAATGCTTTCAGGCCTTTGCCACCACAGGCCTGAAAGCGCTCCAAATGTCCACTTGCAGATTCTGCGAAAAGAATATTTCAAAACTGCTTTGTGAAAAGCAATGTTAAACTCTGTGGCTCGAACAAACACATCACAAAGCGGTTTCTGAGAATGCTTCAGTTTAGTTTTTCTGTGGAAATATTCCCGTTTCCAAAGAAATCTTCAAAGAGGTCCACGTATCCACTTACAGATTCTACAAAAAGACAGTTTCAAAACTGCTCCATCAAAAGGAGGGTTCAACTGTGTGACTTGAATGCAATCATCACTCAGAAGTTTCTGAGAATGCTTCTCTTTAGTTTTTACGTGAACATATACCCGTTTCGAACGAAGGCCACCCAGTGGTCCAAATATCCACTTGCAGATTCTACAGAAAGAGTGTTTCGAACCTGAACTCTCAAAGGCAGGTTCATCTCTGCGAGTTAAATGCATTCATCATGAAGAACTTTCTCAGAGTGTTTGTGTTTAGTTATGGGAAATTATTCCCGTTTCCAACGAAATCCTCAGAGAGCTCCAAATATCCACCTGCAGATTCTACCAAAAGTGTATTTGGAAACTGCTCCATCAAAAGGCATGTTCAGCTCTGTGAGTGAAACTCCATCATCACAAAGAATATTCTGAGAATGCTTCCGTTTGCCTTTTATATGAAGTTCCTTCCTGTACTACCGTAGTCCTCAAAGCAGTCCAAATCTCCATTTGCAGATTCTACAAAAAGAGTGATTCCAATCTGCTCTATCAATAGGATTGTTCAACTCCATGAGTTGAATGCCATCCTCACAAAGTAGTTTCTGAGAATGCTTCTATCTGGTTTTTGTGTGAAGATATTTCCTTTTCCACCACAGGCCTCAAAGCCCTCCAAACGTCCACTTGCAGATTCTCGAAAAAGAGTGTTTCATAGCTGCTCTTTCAAAAGGAAAGTTCAACTCTGGGAGTTGAATACAAACATCACAAAATAGTTTCCGAGAATGCTTCTGTTTAGTTCTTATGTGAAGATGATCCCGTTTCCAGTGAAATCTTCAAAGAGGTCCACATATCCCCTTGCAGATTCCAAAGAAAGAGGGTTTCAAAACTGCTCCATCAAAAGGATTGTTCAACTCTGTGAGTTGAATGCAGTCATCGCAGAAAACTTTCTGAGAATGCTTCTGTCTAGGTTTGATGTGAAGATATAGACGTTTCAAACGAAGGCTACAAAGTGGTCAAAATATACACTTGCAGATTCTACTACAAGGGTGTTGCAAACCTGAACTATCAAAGGAAGGTTCAACTCTGTGGGTTGAATACAAACATCACAAAGAATGTTCTGAGTTTGCTTCCGTTCAGTTATGGGAAGTTGATCCCCTTCCCAACGAAATCCTCAGAGAGGTCCAAATATTCCCTTGCAGATTCTACAAAACGTGTGTTTGGAAACTGCTCCATCATAACGAATGTTCAGCTCTCTGAGTTAAACTCCATCGTCACAAAGAATTTTCTGAGAGTGCTACCGTCTAGTTTTTATATGAAGTTCTTTCCTTTACTACCACAGGCCTCAAAGCGGTCCAAATCTCCACTTGCAGATTCTACAAAAAGAGTGTCTGCAAACTGCTCTATCAAAAGGAATGTTCAACTCTGGGAGTTGAATGCAATCATCACAGAGCAGTTTCTGAGAAGGCTTCTATGTCGTTTTTAGGAGAAGATATTTCCTTTTCCAACACAGTCCTCCAAGCCCGCTAAATAGCCACTTGCACATTGTAGAAAAAGTGTGTCGAAGCTGCGCTATCAAAGGGAAAGTTCAACTCTGTGAGGTGAATGCAAACATCCCAAAGAAGTTTCTGAGAATGCTTCCGTTTAGCTTTTAGGTGAAGATTATCCCGTTTCCAACGAAACCTTCAAAGAGGTCCAAATATCCCCTTGCGGATCCCACAGAAAGAGTGTTTCGAAACTGCTGTTTCAAAAGGAATCTTCAACTCTGTGAGTTGAATGCAATCATCACAAAGAAGTTTCTGACAATGCTTCTCTCTCGTCTTTCTGTGAAGATAAAGGAAAAGGCTTTCAGGCCTTTTCCACCACAGGCCTGAAAGCGCTCCAAATGTCCACTTGCAGATTCTGCCAAAAGAATATTTCAAAACTGCTCTATGAAAAGCAATGTTAAACTCTGTGGCTCGAACACAAACATCACAAAGCGGTTTCTGAGAATGCTTCAGTTTAGTTTTTCTGTGGAAATATTCCCGTTTCCAAAGAAATCTTCAAAGAGGTCCACGTATCCACTTACAGATTCTACAAAAAGACAGTTTCAAAACTGCTCCATCAAAAGGAGGGTTCAACCGTGTGACTTGAATGCAATCATCACTCAGAAGTTTCTGAGAATGCTTCTCTTTAGTTTTTACGTGAACATATACCCGTTTCGAACGAAGGCCAGCCAGTGGTCCAAATATCCACTTGCAGATTCTACAGAAAGAGTGTTTCGAACCTGAACTCTCAAAGGCAGGTTCATCTCTGCGAGTTAAATGCATTCATCATGAAGAACTTTCTCAGAGTGTTTGTATTTAGTTATGGGAAATTATTCCCGTTTCCAACGAAATCCTCAGAGAGCTCCAAATATCCACCTGCAGATTCTACCAAAAGTGTATTTGGAAACTGCTCCATCAAAAGGCATGTTCAGCTCTGTCAGTGAAACTCCATCATCACAAAGAATATTCTGAGAATGCTTCCGTTTGCCTTTTATATGAAGTTCCTTCCTATACTACCGTAGGCCTCAAAGCAGTCCAAATCTCCATTTGCAGATTCTACAAAAAGAGTGATTCCAATCTGCTCTATCAATAGGATTGTTCAACTCCATGAGTTGAATGCCATCCTCAAAATGTCGTTTCTGAGAATGCTTCTATCTAGTTTTTATGTGAAGATATTTCCTTTTCCACCACAGGCCTCAAAGCCCTCCAAACGTCCACTTTCAGATTCTCGAAAAAGAGTGTTTCATAGCTGCTCTTTCAAAAGGAAAGTTCAACTCTGGGAGTTGAATACAAACATCACAAAGTAGTTTCCGAGAATGCTTCTGTTTAGTTTTTATGTGAAGATGATCCCGTTTCCAGTGAAATCTTCAAAGAGGTCCACATATCGCCTTGCAGATTCCAAAGAAAGAGGGTTTCAAAACTGCTCCATCAGAAGGATTGTTCAACTCTGTGAGTTGAATGCAGTCATCGCAGAAAACTTTCTGAGAATGCTTCTGTCTAGGTTTGATGTGAAGATATAGACGTTTCAAACGAAGGCTACAAAGTGGTCAAAATATACACTTGCAGATTCTACTACAAGGGTGTTGCAAACCTGAACTATCAAAGGAAGGTTCAACTCTGTGAGTTGAATACAAACATCACAAAGAATGTTCTGAGTTTGCTTCCGTCCAGTTATGGGAAGTTGATCCCGTTTCCAACGAAATCCTCAGAGAGGTCCAAATATCCCCTTGCAGATTCTACAAAACGTGTGTTGGGAAACTGCTCCATCATAACGAATGTTCAGCTCCCTGAGTTAAACTCCATCGTCACAAAGAATTTTCTGAGAGTGCTACCGTCTGGTTTTTATATGAAGTTCTTTCCTTCACTACCACAGGCCTCAAAGCGGTCCAAATCTCCACTTGCAGATTCTACAAAAAGAGTGTTTGCAAACTGCTCTATCAAAAGGAATGTTCAACTCTGGGAGTTGAATGCAATCATCACAGAGCAGTTTCTGAGAATGCTTCTATGTCGTTTTTAGGAGAAGATATTTCCTTTTCCAACACAGTCCTCCAAGCCCGCTAAATAGCCACTTGCACATTGTAGAAAAAGTGTGTCAAAGCTGCGCTATCAAAGGGAAAGTTCAACTCTGTGAGGTGAATGCAAACATCCCAAAGAAGTTTCTGAGAATGCTTCCGTTTAGCTTTTAGGTGAGGATTATCCCGTTTCCAACGAAACCTTCAAAGAGGTCCAAATATCCCCTTGCGGATCCCACAGAAAGAGTGTTTCGAAACTGCTGTTTCAAAAGGAATCTTCAACTCTGTGAGTTGAATGCAATCATCACAAAGAAGTTTCTGACAATGCTTCTCTCTCGTCTTTCTGTGAAGATAAAGGAAAAGGCTTTCAGGCCTTTGCCACCACAGGCCTGAAAGCGCTCCAAATGTCCACTTGCAGATTCTGCCAAAAGAATATTTCAAAACTGCTCTATGAAAAGCAATGTTAAACTCTGTGGCTGGAACACAAACATCACAAAGCGGTTTCTGAGAATGTTTCAGTTTAGTTTTTCTGTGGAAATATTCCCGTTTCCAAAGAAATCTTCAAAGAGGTCCACGTATCCACTTACAGATTCTACAAAAAGACAGTTTCAAAACTGCTCCATCAAAAGGAGGGTTCAACTGTGTGACTTGAATGCAATCATCACTCAGAAGTTTCTGAGAATGCTTCTCTTTAGTTTTTACGTGAACATATACCCGTTTCGAACGAAGGCCAGCCAGTGGTCCAAATATCCACTTGCAGATTCTACAGAAAGAGAGTTTCGAACCTGAACTCTCAAAGGCAGGTTCATCTCTGCGAGTTAAATGCATTCATCATGAAGAACTTTCTCAGAGTGTTTGCGTTTAGTTATGGGAAATTATTCCCGTTTCCAACGAAATCCTCAGAGAGCTCCAAATATCCACCTGCAGATTCTACCAAAAGTGTATTTGGAAACTGCTCCATCAAAAGGCATGTTCAGCTCTGTCAGTGAAACTCCATCATCACAAAGAATATTCTGAGAATGCTTCCGTTTGCCTTTTATATGAAGTTCCTTCCTGTACTACCGTAGGCCTCAAAGCAGTCCAAATCTCCATTTGCAGATTCTACAAAAAGAGTGATTCCAATCTGCTCTATCAATAGGATTGTTCAACTCCATGAGTTGAATGCCATCCTCACAAAGTCGTTTCTGAGAATGCTTCTATCTGGTTTTTGTGTGAAGATATTTCCTTTTCCACCACAGGCCTCAAAGCCCTCCAAACGTCCACTTGCAGATTCTCGAAAAAGAGTGTTTCATAGCTGCTCTTTCAAAAGGAAAGTTCAACTCTGGGAGTTGAATACAAACATCACAAAATAGTTTCCGAGAATGCTTCTGTTTAGTTTTTATGTGAAGATGATCCCGTTTCCAGTGAAATCTTCAAAGAGGTCCACATATCCCCTTGCAGATTCCAAAGAAAGAGGGTTTCAAAACTGCTCCATCAGAAGGATTGTTCAACTGTGTGAGTTGAATGCAGTCATCGCAGAAAACTTTCTGAGAATGCTTCTGTCTAGGTTTGATGTGAAGATATAGACGTTTCAAACGAAGGCTACAAAGTGGTCAAAATATACACTTGCAGATTCTACTACAAGGGTGTTGCAAACCTGAACTATCAAAGGAAGGTTCAACTCTGTGAATTGAATACAAACATCACAAAGAATGTTCTGAGTTTGCTTCCGTTCAGTTATGGGAAGTTGATCCCGTTTCCAACGAAATCCTCAGAGAGGTCCAAATATCCCCTCGCAGATTCTACAAAACGTGTGTTTGGAAACTGCTCCATCATAACGAATGTTCAGCTCCCTGAGTTAAACTCCATCGTCACAAAGAATTTTCTGAGAGTGCTACCGTCTGGTTTTTATATGAAGTTCTTTCCTTCACTACCACAGGCCTCAAAGCGGTCCAAATCTCCACTTGCAGATTCTACAAAAAGAGTGTTTGCAAACTGCTCTATCAAAAGGAATGTTCAACTCTGGGAGTTGAATGCAATCATCACAGAGCAGTTTCTGAGAATGCTTCTATGTCGTTTTTAGGAGAAGATATTTCCTTTTCCAACACAGTCCTCCAAGCCCGCTAAATAGCCACTTGCACATTGTAGAAAAAGTGTGTCAAAGCTGCGCTATCAAAGGGAAAGTTCAACTCTGTGAGGTGAATGCAAACATCCCAAAGAAGTTTCTGAGAATGCTTCCGTTTAGCTTTTAGGTGAAGATTATCCCGTTTCCAACGAAACCTTCAAAGAGGTCCAAATATCCCCTTGCGGATCCCACAGAAAGAGTGTTTCGAAACTGCTGTTTCAAAAGGAATCTTCAACTCTGTGAGTTGAATGCAATCATCACAAAGAAGTTTCTGACAATGCTTCTCTCTCGTCTTTCTGTGAAGATAAAGGAAAAGGCTTTCAGGCCTTTTCCACCACAGGCCTGAAAGCGCTCCAAATGTCCACTTGCAGATTCTGCCAAAAGAATATTTCAAAACTGCTCTATGAAAAGCAATGTTAAACTCTGTGGCTGGAACACAAACATCACAAAGCGGTTTCTGAGAATGTTTCAGTTTAGTTTTTCTGTGGAAATATTCCCGTTTCCAAAGAAATCTTCAAAGAGGTCCACGTATCCACTTACAGATTCTACAAAAAGACAGTTTCAAAACTGCTCCATCAAAAGGAGGGTTCAACTGTGTGACTTGAATGCAATCATCACTCAGAAGTTTCTGAGAATGCTTCTCTTTAGTTTTTACGTGAACATATACCCGTTTCGAACGAAGGCCACCCAGTGGTCCAAATATCCACTTGCAGATTATACAGAAAGAGTGTTTCGAACCTGAACTCTCAAAGGCAGGTTCATCTCTGCGAGTTAAATGCATTCATCATGAAGAACTTTCTCAGAGTGTTTGTGTTTAGTTATGGGAAATTATTCCCGTTTCCAACGAAATCCTCAGAGTGGTCCAAATATCCACCTGCAGATTCTACCAAAAGTGTATTTGGAAACTGCTCCATCAAAAGGCATGTTCAGCTCTGTGAGTGAAACTCCATCATCACAAAGAATATTCTGAGAATGCTTCCGTTTGCCTTTTATCTGAAGTTCCTTCCTATACGACCGTAGGCCTCAAAGCAGTCCAAATCTCCATTTGCAGATTCTACAAAAAGAGTGATTCCAATCTGCTCTATCAATAGGATTGTTCAACTCCATGAGTTGAATGCCATCCTCACAAAGTCGTTTCTGAGAATGCTTCTATCTAGTTTTTATGTGAAGATATTTCCTTTTCCACCACAGGCCTCAAAGCCCTCCAAACGTCCACTTGCAGATTCTCGAAAAAGAGTGTTTTATAGCTGCTCTTTCAAAAGGAAAGTTCAACTCTGGGAGTTGAATACAAACATCACAAAGTAGTTTCCGAGAATGCTTCTGTTTAGTTTTTATGTGAAGATGATCCCGTTTCCAGTGAAATCTTCAAAGAGGTCCACATATCCCCTTGCAGATTCCAAAGAAAGAGGGTTTCAAAACTGCTCCATCAGAAGGATTGTTCAACTCTGTGAGTTGAATGCAGTCATCGCAGAAAACTTTCTGAGAATGCTTCTGTCTAGGTTTGATGTGAAGATATAGACGTTTCAAACGAAGGCTACAAAGTGGTCAAAATATACACTTGCAGATTCTACTACAAGGGTGTTGCAAACCTGAACTATCAAAGGAAGGTTCAACTCTGTGAGTTGAATACAAACATCACAAAGAATGTTCTGAGTTTGCTTCCGTTCAGTTATGGGAAGTTGATCCCGTTTCCAACGAAATCCTCAGAGAGGTCCAAATATCCCCTTGCAGATTCTACAAAACGTGTGTTTGGAAACTGCTCCATCATAACGAATGTTCAGCTCCCTGAGTTAAACTCCATCGTCACAAAGAATTTTCTGAGAGTGCTACCGTCTGGTTTTTATATGAAGCTCTTTCCTTCACTACCACAGGCCTCAAAGCGGTCCAAATCTCCACTTGCAGATTCTACAAAAAGAGTGTTTGCAAACTGCTCTATCAAAAGGAATGTTCAACTCTGGGAGTTGAATGCAATCATCACAGAGCAGTTTCTGAGAATGCTTCTATGTCGTTTTTAGGAGAAGATATTTCCTTTTCCAACACAGTCCTCCAAGCCCGCTAAATAGCCACTTGCACATTGTAGAAAAAGTGTGTCAAAGCTGCGCTATCAAAGGGAAAGTTCAACTCTGTGAGGTGAATGCAAACATCCCAAAGAAGTTTCTGAGAATGCTTCCGTTTAGCTTTTAGGTGAAGATTATCCCGTTTCCAACGAAACCTTCAAAGAGGTCCAAATATCCCCTTGCGGATCCCACAGAAAGAGTGTTTCGAAACTGCTGTTTCAAAAGGAATCTTCAACTCTGTGAGTTGAATGCAATCATCACAAAGAAGTTTCTGACAATGCTTCTCTCTCGTCTTTCTGTGAAGATAAAGGAAAAGGCTTTCAGGCCTTTGCCACCACAGGCCTGAAAGCGCTCCAAATGTCCACTTGCAGATTCTGCGAAAAGAATATTTCAAAACTGCTCTATGAAAAGCAATGTTAAACTCTGTGGCTCGAACACAAACATCACAAAGCGGTTTCTGAGAATGCTTCAGTTTAGTTTTTCTGTGGAAATATTCCCGTTTCGAAAGAAATCTTCAAAGAGGTCCACGTATCCACTTACAGATTCTACAAAAAGACAGTTTCAAACTGCTCCATCAAAAGGAGGGTTCAACCGTGTGACTTGAATGCAATCATCACTCAGAAATTTCTGAGAATGCTTCTCTTTAGTTTTTACGTGAACATATACCCGTTTCGAACGAAGGCCACCCAGTGGTCCAAATATCCACTTGCAGATTATACAGAAAGAGTGTTTCGAACCTGAACTCTCAAAGGCAGGTTCATCTCTGCGAGTTAAATGCATTCATCATGAAGAACTTTCTCAGAGTGTTTGTGTTTAGTTATGGGAAATTATTCCCCTTTCCAACGAAATCCTCAGAGAGCTCCAAATATCCACCTGCAGATTCTACCAAAAGTGTATTTGGAAACTGCTCCATCAAAAGGCATGTTCAGCTCTGTGAGTGAAACTCCATCATCACAAAGAATATTCTGAGAATGCTTCCGTTTGCCTTTTATATGAAGTTCCTTCCTGTACTACCGTAGGCCTCAAAGCAGTCCAAATCTCCATTTGCAGATTCTACAAAAAGAGTGATTCCAATCTGCTCTATCAATAGGATTGTTCAACTCCATGAGTTGAATGCCATCCTCACAAAGCAGTTTCTGAGAATGCTTCTATCTGGTTTTTGTGTGAAGATATTTCCTTTTCCACCACAGGCCTCAAAGCCCTCCAAACGTCCACTTGCAGATTCTCGAAAAAGAGTGTTTCATAGCTGCTCTTTCAAAAGGAAAGTTCAACTCTGGGAGTTGAATACAAACATCACAAAGTAGTTTCCGAGAATGCTTCTGTTTAGTTTTTATGTGAAGATGATCCCGTTTCCAGTGAAATCTTCAAAGAGGTCCACATATCCCCTTGCAGATTCCAAAGAAAGAGGGTTTCAAAACTGCTCCATCAGAAGGATTATTCAACTCTGTGAGTTGAATGCAGTCATCGCAGAAAACTTTCTGAGAATGCTTCTGTCTAGGTTTGATGTGAAGATATAGACGTTTCAAACGAAGGCTACAAAGTGGTCAAAATATACACTTGCAGATTCTACTACAAGGGTGTTGCAAACCTGAACTATCAAAGGAAGGTTCAACTCTGTGAGTTGAATACAAACATCACAAAGAATGTTCTGAGTTTGCTTCCGTTCAGTTATGGGAAGTTGATCCCGTTTCCAACGAAATCCTCAGAGAGGTCCAAATATCCCCTCGCAGATTCTACAAAACGTGTGTTTGGAAACTGCTCCATCATAACGAATGTTCAGCTCCCTGAGTTAAACTCCATCGTCACAAAGAATTTTCTGAGAGTGCTACCGTCTGGTTTTTATATGAAGTTCTTTCCTTCACTACCACAGGCCTCAAAGCGGTCCAAATCTCCACTTGCAGATTCTACAAAAAGAGTGTTTGCAAACTGCTCTATCAAAAGGAATGTTCAACTCTGGGAGTTGAATGCAATCATCACAGAGCAGTTTCTGAGAATGCTTCTATGTCGTTTTTAGGAGAAGATATTTCCTTTTCCAACACAGTCCTCCAAGCCCGCTAAATAGCCACTTGCACATTGTAGAAAAAGTGTGTCAAAGCTGCGCTATCAAAGGGAAAGTTCAACTCTGTGAGGTGAATGCAAACATCCCAAAGAAGTTTCTGAGAATGCTTCCGTTTAGCTTTTAGGTGAAGATTATCCCGTTTCCAACGAAACCTTCAAAGAGGTCCAAATATCCCCTTGCGGATCCCACAGAAAGAGTGTTTCGAAACTGCTGTTTCAAAAGGAATCTTCAACTCTGTGAGTTGAATGCAATCATCACAAAGAAGTTTCTGACAATGCTTCTCTCTCGTCTTTCTGTGAAGATAAAGGAAAAGGCTTTCAGGCCTTTGCCACCACAGGCCTGAAAGCGCTCCAAATGTCCACTTGCAGATTCTGCGAAAAGAATATTTCAAAACTGCTCTATGAAAAACAATGTTAACCTCTGTGGCTCGAACACAAACATCACAAAGCGGTTTCTGAGAATGCTTCAGTTTAGTTTTTCTGTGGAAATATTCCCGTTTCCAAAGAAATCTTCAAAGAGGTCCACGTATCCACTTACAGATTCTACAAAAAGACAGTTTCAAAACTGCTCCATCAAAAGGAGGGTTCAACTGTGTGACTTGAATGCAATCATCACTCAGAAGTTTCTGAGAATGCTTCTCTTTAGTTTTTACGTGAACATATACCCGTTTCGAACGAAGGCCAGCCAGTGGTCCAAATATCCACTTGCAGATTCTACAGAAAGAGGGTTTCGAACCTGAACTCTCAAAGGCAGGTTCATCTCTGCGAGTTAAATGCATTCATCATGAAGAACTTTCTCAGAGTGTTTGTGTTTAGTTATGGGAAATTATTCCCGTTTCCAACGAAATCCTCAGAGAGCTCCAAATATCCACCTGCAGATTCTACCAAAAGTGTATTTGGAAACTGCTCCATCAAAAGGCATGTTCAGCTCTGTGAGTGAAACTCCATCATCACAAAGAATATTCTGAGAATGCTTCCGTTTGCCTTTTATATGAAGTTCCTTCCTGTACTACCGTAGGCCTCAAAGCAGTCCAAATCTCCATTTGCAGATTCTATAAAAAGAGTGATTCCAATCTGCTCTATCAATAGGATTGTTCAACTCCATGAGTTGAATGCCATCCTCACAAAGTAGTTTCTGAGAATGCTTCTATCTGGTTTTTGTGTGAAGATATTTCCTTTTCCACCACAGGCCTCAAAGCCCTCCAAACGTCCACTTGCAGATTCTCGAAAAAGAGTGTTTCATAGCTGCTCTTTCAAAAGGAAAGTTCAACTCTGGGAGTTGAATACAAACATCACAAAATAGTTTCCGAGAATGCTTCTGTTTAGTTTTTATGTGAAGATGATCCCGTTTCCAGTGAAATCTTCAAAGAGGTCCACATATCCCCTTGCAGATTCCAAAGAAAGAGGGTTTCAAAACTGCTCCATCAGAGGATTGTTCAACTCTGTGAGTTGAATGCAGTCATCGCAGAAATCTTTCTGAGAATGCTTCTGTCTAGGTTTGATGTGAAGATATAGACGTTTCAAACGAAGGCTACAAAGTGGTCAAAATATACACTTGCAGATTCTACTACAAGGGTGTTGCAAACCTGAACTATCAAAGGAAGGTTCAACTCTGTGAGTTGAATACAAACATCACAAAGAATGTTCTGAGTTTGCTTCCGTTCAGTTATGGGAAGTTGATCCCGTTTCCAACGAAATCCTCAGAGAGGTCCAAATATCCCCTTGCAGATTCTACAAAACGTGTGTTTGGAAACTGCTCCATCATAACGAATGTTCAGCTCCCTGAGTTAAACTCCATCGTCACAAAGAATTTTCTGAGAGTGCTACCGTCTGGTTTTTATATGAAGTTCTTTCCTTCACTACCACTGGCCTCAAAGCGGTCCAAATCTCCACTTGCAGATTCTACAAAAAGAGTGTTTGCAAACTGCTCTATCAAAAGGAATGTTCAACTCTGGGAGTTGAATGCAATCATCACAGAGCAGTTTCTGAGAATGCTTCTATGTCGTTTTTAGGAGAAGATATTTCCTTTTCCAACACAGTCCTCCAAGCCCGCTAAATAGCCACTTGCACATTGTAGAAAAAGTGTGTCAAAGCTGCGCTATCAAAGGGAAAGTTCAACTCTGTGAGGTGAATGCAAACATCCCAAAGAAGTTTCTGAGAATGCTTCCGTTTAGCTTTTAGGTGAAGATTATCCCGTTTCCAACGAAACCTTCAAAGAGGTCCAAATATCCCCTTGCGGATCCCACAGAAAGAGTGTTTCGAAACTGCTGTTTCAAAAGGAATCTTCAACTCTGTGAGTTGAATGCAATCATCACAAAGAAGTTTCTGACAATGCTTCTCTCTCGTCTTTCTGTGAAGATAAAGGAAAAGGCTTTCAGGCCCTTTTCCACCACAGGCCTGAAAGCGCTCCAAATGTCCACTTGCAGATTCTGCGAAAAGAATATTTCAAAACTGCTCTATGAAAAGCAATGTTAAACTCTGTGGCTCGAACACAAACATCACAAAGCGGTTTCTGAGAATGCTTCAGTTTAGTTTTTCTGTGGAAATATTCCCGTTTCCAAAGAAATCTTCAAAGAGGTCCACGTATCCACTTACAGATTCTACAAAAAGACAGTTTCAAAACTGCTCCATCAAAAGGAGGGTTCAACCGTGTGACTTGAATGCAATCATCACTCAGAAGTTTCTGAGAATGCTTCTCTTTAGTTTTTAGGTGAACATATACCCGTTTCGAACGAACGCCACCCAGTGGTCCAAATATCCACTTGCAGATTCTACAGAAAGAGTGTTTCGAACCTGAACTCTCAAAGGCAGGTTCATCTCTGCGAGTTAAATGCATTCATCATGAAGAACTTTCTCAGAGTGTTTGTGTTTAGTTATGGGAAATTATTCCCGTTTCCAACGAAATCCTCAGAGAGCTCCAAATATCCACCTGCAGATTCTACCAAAAGTGTATTTGGAAACTGCTCCATCAAAAGGCATGTTCAGCTCTGTCAGTGAAACTCCATCATCACAAAGAATATTCTGAGAATGCTTCCGTTTGCCTTTTATATGAACTTCCTTCCTGTACTACCGTAGGCCTCAAAGCAGTCCAAATCTCCATTTGCAGATTCTACAAAAAGAGTGATTCCAATCTTCTCTATCAATAGGATTGTTCAACTCCATGAGTTGAATGCCATCCTCACAAAGTAGTTTCTGAGAATGCTTCTATCTGGTTTTTGTGTGAAGATATTTCCTTTTCCACCACAGGCCTCAAAGCCCCCCAAACGTCCACTTGCAGATTCTCGAAAAAGAGTGTTTCATAGCTTCTCTTTCAAAAGGAAAGTTCAACTCTGGGAGTTGAATACAAACATCACAAAATAGTTTCCGAGAATGCTTCTGTTTAGTTTTTATGTGAAGATGATCCCGTTTCCAGTGAAATCTTCAAAGAGGTCCACATATCCCCTTGCAGATTCCAAAGAAAGAGGGTTTCAAAACTGCTCCATCAAAAGGATTGTTCAACTCTGTGTGTTGAATGCAGTCATCGCAGAAAACTTTCTGAGAATGCTTCTGTCTAGGTTTGATGTGAAGATATAGACGTTTCAAACGAAGGCTACAACGTGGTCAAAATATACACTTGCAGATTCTACTACAAGGGTGTTGGAAACCTGAACTATCAAAGGAAGGTTCAACTCTGTGAGTTGAATACAAACATCACAAAGAATGTTCTGAGTTTGCTTCCGTTCAGTTATGGGAAGTTGATCCCGTTTCCAACGAAATCCTCAGAGAGGTCCAAATATCCCCTCGCAGATTCTACAAAACGTTTGTTTGGAAACTGCTCCATCATAACGAATGTTCAGCTCCCTGAGTTAAACTCCATCGTCACAAAGAATTTTCTGAGAGTGCTACCGTCTGGTTTTTATATGAAGTTCTTTCCTTCACTACCACAGGCCTCAAAGCGGTCCAAATCCCCACTTGCAGATTCTACAAAAAGAGTGTTTGCAAACTGCTCTATCAAAAGGAATGTTCAACTCTGGGAGTTGAATGCAATCATCACAGAGCAGTTTCTGAGAATGCTTCTATGTCGTTTTTAGGAGAAGATATTTCCTTTTCCAACACAGTCCTCCAAGCCCGCTAAATAGCCACTTGCACATTGTAGAAAAAGTGTGTCAAAGCTGCGCTATCAAAGGGAAAGTTCAACTCTGTGAGGTGAATGCAAACATCCCAAAGAAGTTTCTGAGAATGCTTCCGTTTAGCTTTTAGGTGAAGATTATCCCGTTTCCAACGAAACCTTCAAAGAGGTCCAAATATCCCCTTGCGGATCCCACAGAAAGAGTGTTTCGAAACTGCTGTTTCAAAAGGAATCTTCAACTCTGTGAGTTGAATGCAATCATCACAAAGAAGTTTCTGACAATGCTTCTCTCTCGTCTTTCTGTGAAGATAAAGGAAAAGGCTTTCAGGCCTTTTCCACCACAGGCCTGAAAGCGCTCCAAATGTCCACTTGCAGATTCTGCCAAAAGAATATTTCAAAACTGCTCTATGAAAAGCAATGTTAAACTCTGTGGCTGGAACACAAACATCACAAAGCGGTTTCTGAGAATGTTTCAGTTTAGTTTTTCTGTGGAAATATTCCCGTTTCCAAAGAAATCTTCAAAGAGGTCCACGTATCCACTTACAGATTCTACAAAAAGACAGTTTCAAAACTGCTCCATCAAAAGGAGGGTTCAACTGTGTGACTTGAATGCAATCATCACTCAGAAGTTTCTGAGAATGCTTCTCTTTAGTTTTTACGTGAACATATACGCGTTTCGAACGAAGGCCACCCAGTGGTCCAAATATCCACTTGCAGATTCTACAGAAAGAGTGTTTCGAACCTGAACTCTCAAAGGCAGGTTCATCTCTGCGAGTTAAATGCATTCATCATGAAGAACTTTCTCAGAGTGTTTGTGTTTAGTTATGGGAAATTATTCCCGTTTCCAACGAAATCCTCAGGGAGCTCCAAATATCCACCTGCAGATTCTACCAAAAGTGTATTTGGAAACTGCTCCATCAAAAGGCATGTTCAGCTCTGTGAGTGAAACTCCATCATCACAAAGAATATTCTGAGAATGCTTCCGTTTGCCTTTTATATGAACTTCCTTCCTGTACTACCGTAGGCCTCAAAGCAGTCCAAATCTCCATTTGCAGATTCTACAAAAAGAGTGATTCCAATCTGCTCTATCAATAGGATTGTTCAACTCCATGAGTTGAATGCCATCCTCACAAAGTAGTTTCTGAGAATGCTTCTATCTGGTTTTTGTGTGAAGATATTTCCTTTTCCACCACAGGCCTCAAAGCCCTCGAAACGTCCACTTGCAGATTCTCGAAAAAGAGTGTTTCATAGCTGCTCTTTCAAAAGGAAAGTTCAACTCTGGGAGTTGAATACAAACATCACAAAGTAGTTTCCGAGAATGCTTCTGTTTAGTTTTTATTTGAAGATGATCCCGTTTCCAGTGAAATCTTCAAAGAGGTCCACATATCCCCTTGCAGATTCCAAAGAAAGAGGGTTTCAAAACTGCTCCATCAGAAGGATTGTTCAACTCTGTGAGTTGAATGCAGTCATCGCAGAAAACTTTCTGAGAATGCTTCTGTCTAGGTTTGATGTGAAGGTATAGACGTTTCAAATGAAGGCTACAAAGTGGTCAAAATATACACTTGCAGATTCTACTACAAGGGTGTTGCAAACCTGAACTATCAAAGGAAGGTTCAACTCTGTGAGTTGAATACAAACATCACAAAGAATGTTCTGAGTTTGCTTCCGTTCAGTTATGGGAAGTTGATCCCGTTTCCAACGAAATCCTCAGAGAGGTCCAAATATCCCCTTGCAGATTCTACAAAACGTGTGTTTGGAAACTGCTCCATCATAACGAATGTTCAGCTCCCTGAGTTAAACTCCATCGTCACAAAGAATTTTCTGAGAGTGCTACCGTCTGGTTTTTATATGAAGTTCTTTCCTTCACTACCACTGGTCTCAAAGCGGTCCAAATCTCCACTTGCAGATTCTACAAAAAGAGTGTTTGCAAACTGCTCTATAAAAAGGAATGTTCAACTCTGGGAGTTGAATGCAATCATCACAGAGCAGTTTCTGAGAATGCTTCTATGTCGTTTTTAGGAGAAGATATTTCCTTTTCCAACACAGTCCTCCAAGCCCGCTAAATAGCCACTTGCACATTGTAGAAAAAGTGTGTCAAAGCTGCGCTATCAAAGGGAAAGTTCAACTCTGTGAGGTGAATGCAAACATCCCAAAGAAGTTTCTGAGAATGCTTCCGTTTAGCTTTTAGGTGAAGATTATCCCGTTTCCAACGAAACCTTCAAAGAGGTCCAAATATCCCCTTGCGGATCCCACAGAAAGAGTGTTTCGAAACTGCTGTTTCAAAAGGAATCTTCAACTCTGTGAGTTGAATGCAATCATCACAAAGAAGTTTCTGACAATGCTTCTCTCTCGTCTTTCTGTGAAGATAAAGGAAAAGGCTTTCAGGCCTTTGCCACTACAGGCCTGAAAGCGCTCCAAATGTCCACTTGCAGATTCTGCGAAAAGAATATTTCAAAACTGCTCTATGAAAAGCAATGTTAAACTCTGTGGCTCGAACACAAACATCACAAAGCAGTTTCTGAGAATGCTTCAGTTTAGTTTTTCTGTGGAAATATTCCCGTTTCCAAAGAAATCTTCAAAGAGGTCCACGTATCCACTAACAGATTCTACAAAAAGACAGTTTCAAAACTGCTCCATCAAAAGGAGGGTTCAACTGTGTGACTTGAATGCAATCATCACTCACAAGTTTCTGAGAATGCTTCTCTTTAGTTTTTACGTGAACATATACCCGTTTCGAACGAAGGCCAGCCAGTGGTCCAAATATCCACTTGCAGATTCTACAGAAAGAGTGTTTCGAACCTGAACTCTCAAAGGCAGGTTCATCTCTGCGAGTTAAATGCATTCATCATGAAGAACTTTCTCAGAGTGTTTGTGTTTAGTTATGGGAAATTATTCCCGTTTCCAACGAAATCCTCAGAGAGCTCCAAATATCCACCTGCAGATTCTACCAAAAGTGTATTTGGAAACTGCTCCATCAAAAGGCATGTTCAGCTCTGTGAGTGAAACTCCATCATCACAAAGAATATTCTGAGAATGCTTCCGTTTGCCTTTTATATGAAGTTCCTTCCTATACGACCGTAGGCCTCAAAGCAGTCCAAATCTCCATTTGCAGATTCTACAAAAAGAGTGATTCCAATCTGCTCTATCAATAGGATTGTTCAACTCCATGAGTTGAATGCCATCCTCACAAAGTAGTTTCTGAGAATGCTTCTGTCTAGTTTTTATGTGAAGATATTTCCTTTTCCACCACAGGCCTCAAAGCCCTCCAAACGTCCACTTGCAGATTCTCGAAAAAGAGTGTTTCATAGCTGCTCTTTCAAAAGGAAAGTTCAACTCTGGTAGTTGAATACAAACATCACAAAGTAGTTTCCGAGAATGCTTCTGTTTAGTTTTTATGTGAAGATGATCCCGTTTCCAGTGAAATCTTCAAAGAGGTCCACATATCCCCTTGCAGATTCCAAAGAAAGAGGGTTTCAAAACTGCTCCATCAAAAGGATTGTTCAACTCTGTGAGTTGAATGCAGTCATCGCAGAAAACTTTCTGAGAATGCTTCTGTCTAGGTTTGATGTGAAGATATAGACGTTTCAAACGAAGGCTACAAAGTGGTCAAAATATACACTTGCAGATTCTACTACAAGGGTGTTGCAAACCTGAACTATCAAAGGAAGGTTCAACTCTGTGAGTTGAATACAAACATCACAAAGAATGTTCTGAGTTTGCTTCCGTTCAGTTATGGGACGTTGATCCCGTTTCCAACGAAATCCTCAGAGAGGTCCGAATATCCCCTTGCAGATTCTACAAAACGTGTGTTTGGAAACTGCTCCATCATAACGAATGTTCAGCTCTCTGAGTTAAACTCCATCGTCACAAAGAATTTTCTGAGAGTGCTACCGTCTGGTTTTTATATGAAGTTCTTTCCTTTACTACCACAGGCCTCAAAGCGGTCCAAATCTCCACTTGCAGATTCTACAAAAAGAGTGTTTGCAAACTGCTCTATCAAAAGGAATGTTCAACTCTGGGAGTTGAATGCAATCATCACAGAGCAGTTTCTGAGAATGCTTCTATGTCGTTTTTAGGAGAAGATATTTCCTTTTCCAACACAGTCCTCCAAGCCCGCTAAATAGCCACTTGCACATTGTAGAAAAAGTGTGTCAAAGCTGCGCTATCAAAGGGAAAGTTCAACTCTGTGAGGTGAATGCAAACATCCCAAAGAAGTTTCTGAGAATGCTTCCGTTTAGCTTTTAGGTGAAGATTATCCCGTTTCCAACGAAACCTTCAAAGAGGTCCAAATATCCCCTTGCGGATCCCACAGAAAGAGTGTTTCGAAACTGCTGTTTCAAAAGGAATCTTCAACTCTGTGAGTTGAATGCAATCATCACAAAGAAGTTTCTGACAATGCTTCTCTCTCGTCTTTCTGTGAAGATAAAGGAAAAGGCTTTCAGGCCTTTTCCACCACAGGCCTGAAAGCGCTCCAAATGTCCACTTGCAGATTCTGCCAAAAGAATATTTCAAAACTGCTCTATGAAAAGCAATGTTAAACTCTGTGGCTGGAACACAAACATCACAAAGCGGTTTCTGAGAATGTTTCAGTTTAGTTTTTCTGTGGAAATATTCCCGTTTCCAAAGAAATCTTCAAAGAGGTCCACGTATGCACTTACAGATTCTACAAAAAGACAGTTTCAAAACTGCTCCATCAAAAGGAGGGTTCAACTGTGTGACTTGAATGCAATCATCACTCAGAAGTTTCTGAGAATGCTTCTCTTTAGTTTTTACGTGAACATATACCCGTTTCGAACGAAGGCCACCCAGTGGTCCAAATATCCACTTGCAGATTCTACAGAAAGAGTGTTTCGAACCTGAACTCTCAAAGGCAGGTTCATCTCTGCGAGTTAAATGCATTCATCATGAAGAACTTTCTCAGAGTGTTTGTGTTTAGTTATGGGAAATTATTCCCGTTTCCAACGAAATCCTCAGAGAGCTCCAAATATCCACCTGCAGATTCTACCAAAAGTGTATTTGGAAACTGCTCCATCAAAAGGCATGTTCAGCTCTGTGAGTGAAACTCCATCATCACAAAGAATATTCTGAGAATGCTTCCGTTTGCCTTTTATATGAAGTTCCTTCCTATACGACCGTAGGCCTCAAAGCAGTCCAAATCTCCATTTGCAGATTCTACAAAAAGAGTGATTCCAATCTGCTCTATCAATAGGATTGTTCAACTCCATGAGTTGAATGCCATCCTCACAAAGTAGTTTCTGAGAATGCTTCTATCTAGTTTTTATGTGAAGATATTTCCTTTTCCACCACAGGCCTCAAAGCCCTCCAAACGTCCACTTGCAGATTCTCGAAAAAGAGTGTTTCATAGCTGCTCTTTCAAAAGGAAAGTTCAACTCTGGGAGTTGAATACAAACATCACAAAGTAGTTTCCGAGAATGCTTCTGTTTAGTTTTTATGTGAAGATGATCCCGTTTCCAGTGAAATCTTCAAAGAGGTCCACATATCCCCTTGCAGATTCCAAAGAAAGAGGGTTTCAAAACTGCTCCATCAGAAGGATTGTTCAACTCTGTGAGTTGAATGCAGTCATCGCAGAAAACTTTCTGAGAATGCTTCTGTCTAGGTTTGATGTGAAGATATAGACGTTTCAAACGAAGGCTACAAAGTGGTCAAAATATACACTTGCAGATTCTACTACAAGGGTGTTGCAAACCTGAACTATCAAAGGAAGGTTCAACTCTGTGAATTGAATACAAACATCACAAAGAATGTTCTGAGTTTGCTTCCGTTCAGTTATGGGAAGTTGATCCCGTTTCCAACGAAATCCTCAGAGAGGTCCAAATATCCCCTCGCAGATTCTACAAAACGTGTGTTTGGAAACTGCTCCATCATAACGAATGTTCAGCTCCCTGAGTTAAACTCCATCGTCACAAAGAATTTTCTGAGAGTGCTACCGTCTGGTTTTTATATGAAGTTCTTTCCTTCACTACCACAGGCCTCAAAGCAGTCCAAATCTCCACTTGCAGATTCTACAAAAAGAGTGTTTGCAAACTGCTCTATCAAAAGGAATGTTCAACTCTGGGAGTTGAATGCAATCATCACAGAGCAGTTTCTGAGAATGCTTCTATGTCGTTTTTAGGAGAAGATATTTCCTTTTCCAACACAGTCCTCCAAGCCCGCTAAATAGCCACTTGCACATTGTAGAAAAAGTGTGTCAAAGCTGCGCTATCAAAGGGAAAGTTCAACTCTGTGAGGTGAATGCAAACATCCCAAAGAAGTTTCTGAGAATGCTTCCGTTTAGCTTTTAGGTGAAGATTATCCCGTTTCCAACGAAACCTTCAAAGAGGTCCAAATATCCCCTTGCGGATCCCACAGAAAGAGTGTTTCGAAACTGCTGTTTCAAAAGGAATCTTCAACTCTGTGAGTTGAATGCAATCATCACAAAGAAGTTTCTGACAATGCTTCTCTCTCGTCTTTCTGTGAAGATAAAGGAAAAGGCTTTCAGGCCTTTTCCACCACAGGCCTGAAAGCGCTCCAAATGTCCACTTGCAGATTCTGCGAAAAGAATATTTCAAAACTGCTCTATGAAAAGCAATGTTAAACTCTGTGGCTCGAACACAAACATCACAAAGCGGTTTCTGAGAATGCTTCAGTTTAGTTTTTTTGTGGAAATATTCCCGTTTCCAAAGAAATCTTCAAAGAGGTCCACGTATCCACTTACAGATTCTACAAAAAGACAGTTTCAAAACTGCTCCATCAAAAGGAGGGTTCAACTGTGTGACTTGAATGCAATCATCACTCAGAAGTTTCTGAGAATGCTTCTCTTTAGTTTTTACGTGAACATATACCCGTTTCGAACGAAGGCCACCCAGTGGTCCAAATATCCACTTGCAGATTATACAGAAAGAGTGTTTCGAACCTGAACTCTCAAAGGCAGGTTCATCTCTGCGAGTTAAATGCATTCATCATGAAGAACTTTCTCAGAGTGTTTGTGCTTAGTTATGGGAAATTATTCCCGTTTCCAACGAAATCCTCAGAGTGGTCCAAATATCCACCTGCAGATTCTACCAAAAGTGTATTTGGAAACTGCTCCATCAAAAGGCATGTTCAGCTCTGTGAGTGAAACTCCATCATCACAAAGAATATTCTGAGAATGCTTCCGTTTGCCTTTTATCTGAAGTTCCTTCCTATATGACCGTAGGCCTCAAAGCAGTCCAAATCTCCATTTGCAGATTCTACAAAAAGAGTGATTCCAATCTGCTCTATCAATAGGATTGTTCAACTCCATGAGTTGAATGCCATCCTCACAAAGTCGTTTCTGAGAATGCTTCTATCTAGTTTTTATGTGAAGATATTTCCTTTTCCACCACAGGCCTCAAAGCCCTCCAAACGTCCACTTGCAGATTCTCGAAAAAGAGTGTTTCATAGCTGCTCTTTCAAAAGGAAAGTTCAACTCTGGCAGTTGAATACAAACATCACAAAGTAGTTTCCGAGAATGCTTCTGTTTAGTTTTTATGTGAAGATGATCCCGTTTCCAGTGAAATCTTCAAAGAGGTCCACATATCCCCTTGCAGATTCCAAAGAAAGAGGGTTTCAAAACTGCTCCATCAGAAGGATTGTTCAACTCTGTGAGTTGAATGCAGTCATCGCAGAAAACTTTCTGAGAATGCTTCTGTCTAGGTTTGATGTGAAGATATAGACGTTTCAAACGAAGGCTACAAAGTGGTCAAAATATACACTTGCAGATTCTACTACAAGGGTGTTGCAAACCTGAACTATCAAAGGAAGGTTCAACTCTGTGAGTTGAATACAAACATCACAAAGAATGTTCTGAGTTTGCTTCCGTTCAGTTATGGGAAGTTGATCCCGTTTCCAACGAAATCCTCAGAGAGGTCCAAATATCCCCTTGCAGATTCTACAAAACGTGTGTTTGGAAACTGCTCCATCATAACGAATGTTCAGCTCCCTGAGTTAAACTCCATCGTCACAAAGAATTTTCTGAGAGTGCTACCGTCTGGTTTTTATATGAAGTTCTTTCCTTCACTACCACAGGCCTCAAAGCGGTCCAAATCTCCACTTGCAGATTCTACAAAAAGAGTGTTTGCAAACTGCTCTATCAAAAGGAATGTTCAACTCTGGGAGTTGAATGCAATCATCACAGAGCAGTTTCTGAGAATGCTTCTATGTCGTTTTTAGGAGAAGATATTTCCTTTTCCAACACAGTCCTCCAAGCCCGCTAAATAGCCACTTGCACATTGTAGAAAAAGTGTGTCGAAGCTGCGCTATCAAAGGGAAAGTTCAACTCTGTGAGGTGAATGCAAACATCCCAAAGAAGTTTCTGAGAATGCTTCCGTTTAGCTTTTAGGTGAAGATTATCCCGTTTCCAACGAAACCTTCAAAGAGGTCCAAATATCCCCTTGCGGATCCCACAGAAAGAGTGTTTCGAAACTGCTGTTTCAAAAGGAATCTTCAACTCTGTGAGTTGAATGCAATCATCACAAAGAAGTTTCTGACAATGCTTCTCTCTCGTCTTTCTGTGAAGATAAAGGAAAAGGCTTTCAGGCCTTTGCCACCACAGGCCTGAAAGCGCTCCAAATGTCCACTTGCAGATTCTGCCAAAAGAATATTTCAAAACTGCTCTATGAAAAGCAATGTTAAACTCTGTGGCTCGAACACAAACATCACAAAGCGGTTTCTGAGAATGCTTCAGTTTAGTTTTTCTGTGGAAATATTCCCGTTTCCAAAGAAATCTTCAAAGAGGTCCACGTATCCACTTACAGATTCTACAAAAAGACAGTTTCAAAACTGCTCCATCAAAAGGAGGGTTCAACTGTGTGACTTGAATGCAATCATCACTCAGAAGTTTCTGAGAATGCTTCTCTTTAGTTTTTACGTGAACATATACCCGTTTCGAACGAAGGCCAGCCAGTGGTCCAAATATCCACTTGCAGATTCTACAGAAAGAGTGTTTCGAACCTGAACTCTCAAAGGCAGGTTCATCTCTGCGAGTTAAATGCATTCATCATGAAGAACTTTCTCAGAGTGTTTGTGTTTAGTTATGGGAAATTATTCCCGTTTCCAACGAAATCCTCAGAGAGCTCCAAATATCCACCTGCAGATTCTACCAAAAGTGTATTTGGAAACTGCTCCATCAAAAGGCATGTTCAGCTCTGTGAGTGAAACTCCATCATCACAAAGAATATTCTGAGAATGCTTCCGTTTGCCTTTTATATGAAGTTCCTTCCTGTACTACCGTAGGCCTCAAAGCAGTCCAAATCTCCATTTGCAGATTCTACAAAAAGAGTGATTCCAATCTGCTCTATCAATAGGATTGTTCAACTCCATGAGTTGAATGCCATCCTCACAAAGTAGTTTCTGAGAATGCTTCTATCTGGTTTTTGTGTGAAGATATTTCCTTTTCCACCACAGGCCTCAAAGCCCTCCAAACGTCCACTTGCAGATTCTCGAAAAAGAGTGTTTCATAGCTGCTCTTTCAAAAGGAAAGTTCAACTCTGGGAGTTGAATACAAACATCACAAAATAGTTTCCGAGAATGCTTCAGTTTAGTTTTTATGTGAAGATGATCCCGTTTCCAGTGAAATCTTCAAAGAGGTCCACATATCCCCTTGCAGATTCCAAAGAAAGAGGGTTTCAAAACTGCTCCATCAGAAGGATTGTTCAACTCTGTGAGTTGAATGCAGTCATCGCAGAAAACTTTCTGAGAATGCTTCTGTCTAGGTTTGATGTGAAGATATAGATGTTTCAAACGAAGGCTACAAAGTGGTCAAAATATACACTTGCAGATTCTACTACAAGGGTGTTGCAAACCTGAACTATCAAAGGAAGGTTCAACTCTGTGAGTTGAATACAAACATCACAAAGAATGTTCTGAGTTTGCTTCCGTTCAGTTATGGGAAGTTGATCCCGTTTCCAACGAAATCCTCAGAGAGGTCCAAATATCCCCTTGCAGATTCTACAAAACGTGTGTTTGGAATCTGCTCCATCGTAACGAATGTTCAGCTCCCTGAGTTAAACTCCATCGTCACAAAGAATTTTCTGAGAGTGCTACCGTCTGGTTTTTATATGAAGTTCTTTCCTTCACTACCACAGGCCTCAAAGCGGTCCAAATCTCCACTTGCAGATTCTACAAAAAGAGTGTTTGCAAACTGCTCTATCAAAAGGAATGTTCAACTCTGGGAGTTGAATGCAATCATCACAGAGCAGTTTACTGAGAATGCTTCTATGTCGTTTTTAGGAGAAGATATTTCCTTTTCCAACACAGTCCTCCAAGCCCGCTAAATATCCACTTGCACATTGTAGAAAAAGTGTGTCGAAGCTGCGCTATCAAAGGGAAAGTTCAACTATGTGAGGTGAATGCAAACATCCCAAAGAAGTTTCTGAGAATGCTTCCGTTTAGCTTTTAGGTGAAGATTATCCCGTTTCCAACGAAATCTTCAAAGAGGTCCAAATATCCCCTTGCGGATCCCACAGAAAGAGTGTTTCGAAACTGCTGTTTCAAAAGGAATCTTCAACTCTGTGAGTTGAATGCAATCATCACAAAGAAGTTTCTGACAATGCTTCTCTCTCGTCTTTCTGTGAAGATAAAGGAAAAGGCTTTCAGGCCTTTTCCACCACAGGCCTGAAAGCGCTCCAAATGTCCACTTGCAGATTCTGCGAAAAGAATATTTCAAAACTGCTCTATGAAAAGCAATGTTAAACTCTGTGGCTCGAACACAAACATCACAAAGCAGTTTCTGAGAATGCTTCAGTTTAGTTTTTCTGTGGAAATATTCCCGTTTCCAAAGAAATCTTCAAAGAGGTCCACGTATCCACTTACAGATTCTACAAAAAGACAGTTTCAAAACTGCTCCATCAAAAGGAGGGTTCAACTGTGTGACTTGAATGCAATCATCACTCAGAAGTTTCTGAGAATGCTTCTCTTTAGTTTTTACGTGAACATATACCCGTTTTGAACGAAGGCCACCCAGTGGTCCAAATATCCACTTGCAGATTCTACAGAAAGAGTGTTTCGAACCTGAACTCTCAAAGGCAGGTTCATCTCTGCGAGTTCAATGCATTCATCATGAAGAACTTTCTCAGAGTGTTTGTGTTTAGTTATGGGAAATTATTCCCGTTTCCAACGAAATCCTCAGAGAGCTCCAAATATCCACCTGCAGATTCTACCAAAAGTGTATTTGGAAACTGCTCCATCAAAAGGCATGTTCAGCTCTGTGAGTGAAACTCCATCATCACAAAGAATATTCTGAGAATGCTTCCGTTTGCCTTTTATCTAAAGTTCCTTCCTGTACTACCGTAGGCCTCAAAGCAGTCCAAATCTCCATTTGCAGATTCTATAAAAAGAGTGATTCCAATCTGCTCTATCAATAGGATTGTTCAACTCCATGAGTTGAATGCCATCCTCACAAAGTAGTTTCTGAGAATGCTTCTATCTAGTTTTTATGTGAAGATATTTCCTTTTCCACCACAGGCCTCAAAGCCCTACAAACGTCCACTTGCAGATTCTCGAAAAAGAGTGTTTCATAGCTGCTCTTTCAAAAGGAAAGTTCAACTCTGGCAGTTGAATACAAACATCACAAAGTAGTTTCCGAGAATGCTTCTGTTTAGTTTTTATGTGAAGATGATCCCGTTTCCAGTGAAATCTTCAAAGAGGTCCACATATCCCCTTGCAGATTCCAAAGAAAGAGGGTTTCAAAACTGCTCCATCAGAAGGATTGTTCAACTCTGTGAGTTGAATGCAGTCATCGCAGAAAACTTTCTGAGAATGCTTCTGTCTAGGTTTGATGTGAAGATATAGACGTTTCAAACGAAGGCTACAAAGTGGTCAAAATATACACTTGCAGATACTACTACAAGGGTGTTGCAAACCTGAACTATCAAAGGAAGGTTCAACTCTGTGAGTTGAATACAAACATCACAAAGAATGTTCTGAGTTTGCTTCCGTTCAGTTATGGGAAGTTGATCCCGTTTCCAACGAAATCCTCAGAGAGGTCCAAATATCCCCTTGCAGATTCTACAAAACGTGTTTTTGGAAACTGCTCCATCATAACGAATGTTCAGCTCCCTGAGTTAAACTCCATCGTCACAAAGAATTTTCTGAGAGTGCTACCGTCTGGTTTTTATATGAAGCTCTTTCCTTTACTACCCCAGGCCTCAAAGCGGTCAAAATCTCCACTTGCAGATTCTACAAAAAGAGTGTTTGCAAACTGCTCTATCAAAAGGAATGTTCAACTCTGGGAGTTGAATGCAATCATCACAGAGCAGTTTCTGAGAATGCTTCTATGTCGTTTTTAGGAGAAGATATTTCCTTTTCCAACACATTCCTCCAAGTCCGCTAAATAGCCACTTGCACATTGTAGAAAAAGTGTGTCAAAGCTGCGCTATCAAAGGGAAAGTTCAACTCTGAGAGGTGAATGCAAACATCCCAAAGAAGTTTCTGAGAGTGCTTCCGTTTAGCTTTTAGGTGAAGATTATCCCGTTTCCAACGAAACCTTCAAAGAAGTCCAAATATCCCCTTGCGGATCCCACAGAAAGAGTGTTTCGAAACTGCTGTTTCAAAAGGAATCTTCAACTCTGTGAGTTGAATGCAATCATCACAAAGAAGTTTCTGACAATGCTTCTCTCTCGTCTTTCTGTGAAGATAAATAAATGCTTTCAGGCCTTTGCCACCACAGGCCTGAAAGCGCTCCAAATGTCCACTTGCAGATTCTGCCAAAAGAATATTTCAAAACTGCTTTGTGAAAAGCAATGTTAAACTCTGTGGCTCGAACACAAACATCACAAAGCGGTTTCTGAGAATGCTTCAGTTTAGTTTTTCTGTGGAAATATTCCCGTTTCCAAAGAAATCTTCAAAGAGGTCCACGTATCCACTTACAGATTCTACAAAAAGACAGTTTCAAAACTGCTCCATCAAAAGGAGGGTTCAACTGTGTGACTTGAATGCAATCATCACTCAGAAGTTTCTGAGAATGCTTCTCTTTAGTTTTTACGTGAACATATACCCGTTTCGAACGAAGGCCACCCAGTGGTCCAAATATCCACTTGCAGATTCTACAGAAAGAGTGTTTCGAACCTGAACTCTCAAAGGCAGGTTCATCTCTGCGAGTTAAATGGATTCATCATGAAGAACTTTCTCAGCGTGTTTGTGTTTAGTTATGGGAAATTATTCCCGTTTCCAACGAAATCCTCAAAGAGCTCCAAATATCCACCTGCAGATTCTACCAAAAGTGTATTTGGAAACTGCTCCATCAAAAGGCATGTTCAGCTCTGTGAGTGAAACTCCATCATCACAAAGAATATTCTGAGAATGCTTCCGTTTGCTTTTTTATGAATTTCCTTCCTATACTACCGTAGGCCTCAAAGCAGTCCAAATCTCCATTTGCAGATTCTACAAAAAGAGTGTTTCCAATCTGCTCTATCAATAGGATTGTTCAACTCCGTGAGTTGAATGCCATCGTCACAAATTAATTTCTGAGAATGCTTCTATCTAGTTTTTATGTGAAGATATTTCCTTTTCCACCACAGGCCTCAAAGCCCTCCAAACGTCCACTTGTAGATTCTCCAAAAAGAGTGTTTCATAGCTGCTCTTTCAAAAGGAATGTTCAACTCTGGCAGTTGAATGCAAACATCACAAAGTAGTTTCCGAGAATGCTTCCTGTTTAGTTTTTATGTGAAGATGATCCCGTTTCCAGTGAAATCTTCAAAGAGGTCCACATATCCCCTTGCAGATTCCAAAGAAAGAGGGTTTCAAAACTGCTCCATCAGAAGGATTGTTCAACTCTGTGAGTTGAATGCAGTCATCGCAGAAAACTTTCTGAGAATGCTTCTGGCTAGGTTTGATGTGAAGATATAGACGTTTCAAACGAAGGCTACAAAGTGGTCAAAATATACACTTGCAGATTCTACTACAAGGGTGTTGCAAACCTGAACTATCAAAGGAAGGTTCAACTCTGTGAGTTGAATACAAACATCACAAAGAATGTTCTGAGTTTGCTTCCGTTCAGTTATGGGAAGTTGATCCCGTTTCCAACGAAATCCTCAGAGAGGTCCAAATATCCCCTCGCAGATTCTACAAAACGTGTGTTTGGAAACTGCTCCATCATAACGAATGTTCAGCTCCCTGAGTTAAACTCCATCGTCACAAAGAATTTTCTGAGAGTGCTACCGTCTGGTTTTTATATGAAGTTCTTTCCTTCACTACCACAGGCCTCAAAGCGGTCCAAATCTCCACTTGCAGATTCTACAAAAAGAGTGTTTGCAAACTGCTCTATCAAAAGGAATGTTCAACTCTGGGAGTTGAATGCAATCATCACAGAGCAGTTTCTGAGAATGCTTCTATGTCGTTTTTAGGAGAAGATATTTCCTTTTCCAACACAGTCCTCCAAGCCCGCTAAATAGCCACTTGCACATTGTAGAAAAAGTGTGTCAAAGCTGCGCTATCAAAGGGAAAGTTCAACTCTGTCAGGTGAATGCAAACATCCCAAAGAAGTTTCTGAGAATGCTTCCGTTTAGCTTTTAGGTGAAGATTATCCCGTTTCCAACGAAACCTTCAAAGAGGTCCAAATATCCCCTTGCGGATCCCACAGAAAGAGTGTTTCGAAACTGCTGTTTCAAAAGGAATCTTCAACTCTGTGAGTTGAATGCAATCATCACAAAGAAGTTTCTGACAATGCTTCTCTCTCGTCTTTCTGTGAAGATAAAGGAAAAGGCTTTCAGGCCTTTTCCACCACAGGCCTGAAAGCGCTCCAAATGTCCACTTGCAGATTCTGCGAAAAGAATATTTCAAAACTGCTCTATGAAAAGCAATGTTAAACTCTGTGGCTCGAACACAAACATCACAAAGCAGTTTCTGAGAATGCTTCAGTTTAGTTTTTCTGTGGAAATATTCCCGTTTCCAAAGAAATCTTCAAAGAGGTCCACGTATCCACTTACAGATTCTACAAAAAGACAGTTTCAAAACTGCTCCATCAAAAGGAGGGTTCAACCGTGTGACTTGAATGCAATCATCACTCAGAAGTTTCTGAGAATGCTTCTCTTTAGTTTTTACGTGAACATATACCCGTTTCGAACGAACGCCACCCAGTGGTCCAAATATCCACTTGCAGATTCTACAGAAAGAGTGTTTCGAACCTGAACTCTCAAAGGCAGGTTCATCTCTGCGAGTTAAATGCATTCATCATGAAGAACTTTCTCAGAGTGTTTGTGTTTAGTTATGGGAAATTATTCCCGTTTCCAACGAAATCCTCAGAGTGGTCCAAATATCCACCTGCAGATTCTACCAAAAGTGTATTTGGAATCTGCTCCATCAAAAGGCATGTTCAGCTCTGTGAGTGAAACTCCATCATCACAAAGAATATTCTGAGAATGCTTCCGTTTGCCTTTTATATGAAGTTCCTTCCTGTACTACCGTAGGCCTCAAAGCAGTCCAAATCTCCATTTGCAGATTCTACAAAAAGAGTGATTCCAATCTGCTCTATCAATAGGATTGTTCAACTCCATGAGTTGAATGCCATCCTCACAAAGTAGTTTCTGAGAATGCTTCTATCTGGTTTTTGTGTGAAGATATTTCCTTTTCCACCACAGGCCTCAAAGCCCTCCAAACGTCCACTTGCAGATTCTCGAAAAAGAGTGTTTCATAGCTGCTCTTTCAAAAGGAAAGTTCAACTCTGGGAGTTGAATACAAACATCACAAAGAATGTTCTGAGTTTGCTTCCGTTCAGTTATGGGAAGTTGATCCCGTTTCCAACGAAATCCTCAGAGAGGTCCAAATATCCCCTTGCAGATTCTACAAAACGTGTGTTTGGAAACTGCTCCATCATAACGAATGTTCAGCTCCCTGAGTTAAACTCCATCGTCACAAAGAATTTTCTGAGAGTGCTACCGTCTGGTTTTTATATGAAGCTTTTTCCTTTACTACCCCAGTCCTCAAAGCGGTCCAAATCTCCACTTGCAGATTCTACAAAAAGAGTGTTTGCAAACTGCTCTATCAAAAGGAATGTTCAACTCTGGGAGTTGAATGCAATCATCACAGAGCAGTTTCTGAGAATGCTTCTATGTCGTTTTTAGGAGAAGATATTTCCTTTTCCAACACAGTCCTCCAAGCCCGCTAAATAGCCACTTGCACATTGTAGAAAAAGTGTGTCAAAGCTGCGCTATCAAAGGGAAAGTTCAACTCTGAGAGGTGAATGCAAACATCCCAAAGAAGTTTCTGAGAGTGCTTCCGTTTAGCTTTTAGGTGAAGATTATCCCGTTTCCAACGAAACCTTCAAAGAGGTCCAAATATCCCCTTGCGGATCCCACAGAAAGAGTGTTTCGAAACTGCTGTTTCAAAAGGAATCTTCAACTCTGTGAGTTGAATGCAATCATCACAAAGAAGTTTCTGACAATGCTTCTCTCTCGTCTTTCTGTGAAGATAAAGGAAAAGGCTTTCAGGCCTTTTCCACCACAGGCCTGAAAGCGCTCCAAATGTCCACTTGCAGATTCTGCGAAAAGAATATTTCAAAACTGCTCTGTGAAAAGCAATGTTAAACTCTGTGGCTCGAACACAAACATCACAAAGCGGTTTCTGAGAATGCTTCAGTTTAGTTTTTCTGTGGAAATATTCCCGTTTCCAAAGAAATCTTCAAAGAGGTCCACGTATCCACTTACAGATTCTACAAAAAGACAGTTTCAAAACTGCTCCATCAAAAGGAGGGTTCAACCGTGTGACTTGAATGCAATCATCACTCAGAAGTTTCTGAGAATGCTTCTCTTTAGTTTTTACGTGAACATATACCCGTTTCGAACGAAGGCCAGCCAGTGGTCCAAATATCCACTTGCAGATTCTACAGAAAGAGTGTTTCGAACCTGAACTCTCAAAGGCAGGTTCATCTCTGCGAGTTAAATGCATTCATCATGAAGAACTTTCTCAGAGTGTTTGTGTTTAGTTATGGGAAATTATTCCCGTTTCCAACGAAATCCTCAGAGAGCTCCAAATATCCACCTGCAGATTCTACCAAAAGTGTATTTGGAAACTGCTCCATCAAAAGGCATGTTCAGCTCTGTGAGTGAAACTCCATCATCACAAAGAATATTCTGAGAATGCTTCCGTTTGCCTTTTATATGAAGTTCCTTCCTGTACTACCGTAGGCCTCAAAGCAGTCCAAATCTCCATTTGCAGATTCTACAAAAAGAGTGATTCCAATCTGCTCTATCAAAAGGATTGTTCAACTCCATGAGTTGAATGCCATCCTCACAAAGCAGTTTCTGAGAATGCTTCTATCTGGTTTTTGTGTGAAGATATTTCCTTTTCCACCACAGGCCTCAAAGCCCTCCAAACGTCCACTTGCAGATTCTCGAAAAAGAGTGTTTCATAGCTGCTCTTTCAAAAGGAAAGTTCAACTCTGGGAGTTGAATACAAACATCACAAAATAGTTTCCGAGAATGCTTCTGTTTAGTTTCTATGTGAAGATGATCCCGTTTCCAGTGAAATCTTCAAAGAGGTCCACATATCCCCTTGCAGATTCCAAAGAAAGAGGGTTTCAAAACTGCTCCATCAGAAGGATTGTTCAACTCTGTGAGTTGAATGCAGTCATCGCAGAAAACTTTCTGAGAATGCTTCTGTCTAGGTTTGATGTGAAGATATAGACGTTTCAAACGAAGGCTACAAAGTGGTCAAAATATACACTTGCAGATTCTACTACAAGGGTGTTGCAAACCTGAACTATCAAAGGAAGGTTCAACTCTGTGAATTGAATACAAACATCACAAAGAATGTTCTGAGTTTGCTTCCGTTCAGTTATGGGAAGTTGATCCCGTTTCCAACGAAATCCTCAGAGAGGTCCAAATATCCCCTTGCAGATTCTACAAAACGTGTGTTTGGAAACTGCTCCATCATAACGAATGTTCAGCTCCCTGAGTTAAACTCCATCGTCACAAAGAATTTTCTGAGAGTGCTACCGTCTGGTTTTTATATGAAGCTCTTTCCTTTACTACCCTAGTCCTCAAAGCGGTCCAAATCTCCACTTGCAGATTCTACAAAAAGAGTGTTTGCAAACTGCTCTATCAAAAGGAATGTTCAACTCTGGGAGTTGAATGCAATCATCACAGAGCAGTTTCTGAGAATGCTTCTATGTCGTTTTTAGGAGAAGATATTTCCTTTTCCAACACAGTCCTCCAAGCCCGCTAAATAGCCACTTGCACATTGTAGAAAAAGTGTGTCAAAGCTGCGCTATCAAAGGGAAAGTTCAACTCTGAGAGGTGAATGCAAACATCCCAAAGAAGTTTCTGAGAGTGCTTCCGTTTAGCTTTTAGGTGAAGATTATCCCGTTTCCAACGAAACCTTCAAAGAGGTCCAAATATCCCCTTGCGGATCCCACAGAAAGAGTGTTTCGAAACTGCTGTTTCAAAAGGAATCTTCAACTCTGTGAGTTGAATGCAATCATCACAAAGAAGTTTCTGACAATGCTTCTCTCTCGTCTTTCTGTGAAGATAAAGGAAAAGGCTTTCAGGCCTTTTCCACCCACAGGCCTGAAAGCGCTCCAAATGTCCACTTGCAGATTCTGCGAAAAGAATATTTCAAAACTGCTCTATGAAAAGCAATGTTAAACTCTGTGGCTCGAACACAAACATCACAAAGCGGTTTCTGAGAATGCTTCAGTTTAGTTTTTCTGTGGAAATATTCCCGTTTCCAAAGAAATCTTCAAAGAGGTCCACGCATCCACTTACAGATTCTACAAAAAGACAGTTTCAAAACTGCTCCATCAAAAGGAGGGTTCAACTGTGTGACTTGAATGCAATCATCACTCAGAAGTTTCTGAGAATGCTTCTCTTTAGTTTTTACGTGAACATATACCCGTTTCGAACGAAGGCCACCCAGTGGTCCAAATATCCACTTGCAGATTATACAGAAAGAGTGTTTCGAACCTGAACTCTCAAAGGCAGGTTCATCTCTGCGAGTTAAATGCATTCATCATGAAGAACTTTCTCAGAGTGTTTGTGTTTAGTTATGGGGAATTGTTCCCGTTTCCAACGAAATCCTCAGAGAGCTCCAAATATCCACCTGCAGATTCTACCAAAAGTGTATTTGGAAACTGCTCCATCAAAAGGCATGTTCAGCTCTGTGAGTGAAACTCCATCATCACAAAGAATATTCTGAGAATGCTTCCGTTTGCCTTTTATATGAAGTTCCTTCCTATACGACCGTAGGCCTCAAAGCAGTCCAAATCTCCATTTGCAGATTCTACAAAAGAGTGATTCCAATCTGCTCTATCAATAGGATTGTTCAACTCCATGAGTTGAATGCCATCCTCACAAAGTAGTTTCTGAGAATGCTTCTATCTGGTTTTTGTGTGAAGATATTTCCTTTTCCACCACAGGCCTCAAAGCCCTCCAAACGTCCACTTGCAGATTCTCGAAAAAGAGTGTTTCATAGCTGCTCTTTCAAAAGGAAAGTTCAACTCTGGGAGTTGAATACAAACATCACAAAATAGCTTCCGAGATTGCTTCTGTTTAGTTATTATGTGAAGATGATCCCGTTTCCAGTGAAATCTTCAAAGAGGTCCACATATCCCCTTGCAGATTCCAAAGAAAGAGGGTTTCAAAACTGCTCCATCAAAAGGATTGTTCAACTCTGTGAGTTGAATGCAGTCATCGCAGAAAACTTTCTGAGAATGCTTCTGTCTAGGTTTGATGTGAAGATATAGACGTTTCAAACGAAGGCTACAAAGTGGTCAAAATATACACTTGCAGATTCTACTACAAGGGTGATGCAAACCTGAACTATCAAAGGAAGGTTCAACTCTGTGAGTTGAATACAAACATCACAAAGAATGTTCTGAGTTTGCTTCCGTTCATTTATGGGAAGTTGATCCCTTTTCCAACGAAATCCTCAGAGAGGTCCAAATATCCCCTCGCAGATTCTACAAAACGTGTGTTTGGAAACTGCTCCATCATAACGAATGTTCAGCTCCCTGAGTTAAACTCCATCGTCACAAAGAATTTTCTGAGAGTGCTACCGTCTGGTTTTTATATGAAGTTCTTTCCTTCACTACCACAGGCCTCAAAGCGGTCCAAATCTCCACTTGCAGATTCTACAAAAAGAGTGTTTGCAAACTGCTCTATCAAAAGGAATGTTCAACTCTGGGAGTTGAATGCAATCATCACAGAGCAGTTTCTGAGAATGCTTCTATGTCGTTTTTAGAAGATATTTCCTTTTCCAACACAGTCCTCCAAGCCCGCTAAATAGCCACTTGCACATTGTAGAAAAAGTGTGTCAAAGCTGCGCTATCAAAGGGAAAGTTCAACTCTGTGAGGTGAATGCAAACATCCCAAAGAAGTTTCTGAGAATGCTTCCGTTTAGCTTTTAGGTGAAGATTATCCCGTTTCCAACGAAACCTTCAAAGAGGTCCAAATATCCCCTTGCGGATCCCACAGAAAGAGTGTTTCGAAACTGCTGTTTCAAAAGGAATCTTCAACTCTGTGAGTTGAATGCAATCATCACAAAGAAGTTTCTGACAATGCTTCTCTCTCGTCTTTCTGTGAAGATAAAGGAAAAGGCTTTCAGGCCTTTGCCACCACAGGCCTGAAAGCGCTCCAAATGTCCACTTGCAGATTCTGCGAAAAGAATATTTCAAAACTGCTCTATGAAAAGCAATGTTAAACTCTGTGGCTCGAACACAAACATCACAAAGCGGTTTCTGAGAATGCTTCAGTTTAGTTTTTCTGTGGAAATATTCCCGTTTCCAAAGAAATCTTCAAAGAGGTCCACGTATCCACTTACAGATTCTACAAAAAGACAGTTTCAAAACTTCTCCATCAAAAGGAGGGTTCAACCGTGTGACTTGAATGCAATCATCACTCAGAAGTTTCTGAGAATGCTTCTCTTTAGTTTTTACGTGAACATATACCCGTTTCGAACGAAGGCCACCCAGTGGTCCAAATATCCACTTGCAGATTATACAGAAAGAGTGTTTCGAACCTGAACTCTCAAAGGCAGGTTCATCTCTGCGAGTTAAATGCATTCATCATGAAGAACTTTCTCAGAGTGTTTGTGTTTAGTTATGGGAAATTATTCCCGTTTCCAACGAAATCCTCAGAGAGGTCCAAATATCCACCTGCAGATTCTACCAAAAGTGTATTTGGAAACTGCTCCATCAAAAGGCATGTTCAGCTCTGTGAGTGAAACTCCATCATCACAAAGAATATTCTGAGAATGCTTCCGTTTGCCTTTTATCTGAAGTTCCTTCCTATACGACCGTAGGCCTCAAAGCAGTCCAAATCTCCATTTGCAGATTCTACAAAAAGAGTGATTCCAATCTGCTCTATCAATAGGATTGTTCAACTCCATGAGTTGAATGCCATCCTCACAAAGTAGTTTCTGAGAATGCTTCTATCTAGTTTTTATGTGAAGGTATTTCCTTTTCCACCACAGGCCTCCAAGCCCTCCAAACGTCCACTTGCAGATTCTCGAAAAAGAGTGTTTCATAGCTGCTCTTTCAAAAGGAAAGTTCAACTCTGGGAGTTGAATACAAACATCACAAAGTAGTTTCCGAGAATGCTTCTGTTTAGTTTTTATGTGAAGATGATCCCGTTTCCAGTGAAATCTTCAAAGAGGTCCACATATCCCCTTGCAGATTCCAAAGAAAGAGGGTTTCAAAACTGCTCCATCAGAAGGATTGTTCAACTCTGTGAGTTGAATGCAGTCATCGCAGAAAACTTTCTGAGAATGCTTCTGTCTAGGTTTGCTGTGAAGATATAGACGTTTCAAATGAAGGCTACAAAGTGGTCAAAATATACACTTGCAGATTCTACTACAAGGGTGTTGCAAACCTGAACTATCAAAGGAAGGTTCAACTCTGTGAGTTGAATACAAACATCACAAAGAATGTTCTGAGTTTGCTTCCGTTCAGTTATGGGAAGTTGATCCCGTTTCCAACGAAATCCTCAGAGAGGTCCAAATATCCCCTCGCAGATTCTACAAAACGTGTGTTTGGAAACTGCTCCATCATAACGAATGTTCAGCTCCCTGAGTTAAACTCCATCGTCACAAAGAATTTTCTGAGAGTGCTACCGTCTGGTTTTTATATGAAGTTCTTTCCTTCACTACCACAGGCCTCAAAGCGGTCCAAATCTCCACTTGCAGATTCTACAAAAAGAGTGTTTGCAAACTGCTCTATCAAAAGGAATGTTCAACTCTGGGAGTTGAATGCAATCATCACAGAGCAGTTTCTGAGAATGCTTCTATGTCGTTTTTAGGAGAAGATATTTCCTTTTCCAACACAGTCCTCCAAGCCCGCTAAATAGCCACTTGCACATTGTAGAAAAAGTGTGTCAAAGCTGCGCTATCAAAGGGAAAGTTCAACTCTGTGAGGTGAATGCAAACATCCCAAAGAAGTTTCTGAGAATGCTTCCGTTTAGCTTTTAGGTGAAGATTATCCCGTTTCCAACGAAACCTTCAAAGAGGTCCAAATATCCCCTTGCGGATCCCACAGAAAGAGTGTTTCGAAACTGCTGTTTCAAAAGGAATCTTCAACTCTGTGAGTTGAATGCAATCATCACAAAGAAGTTTCTGACAATGCTTCTCTCTCGTCTTTCTGTGAAGATAAAGGAAAAGGCTTTCAGGCCTTTTCCACCACAGGCCTGAAAGCGCTCCAAATGTCCACTTGCAGATTCTGCGAAAAGAATATTTCAAAACTGCTCTATGAAAAGCAATGTTAAACTCTGTGGCTCGAACACAAACATCACAAAGCGGTTTCTGAGAATGCTTCAGTTTAGTTTTTCTGTGGAAATATTCCCGTTTCCAAAGAAATCTTCAAAGAGGTCCACGTATCCACTTACAGATTCTACAAAAAGACAGTTTCAAAACTGCTCCATCAAAAGGAGGGTTCAACTGTGTGACTTGAATGCAATCATCACTCAGAAGTTTCTGAGAATGCTTCTCTTTAGTTTTTACGTGAACATATACCCGTTTCGAACGAAGGCCACCCAGTGGTCCAAATATCCACTTGCAGATTCTACAGAAAGAGTGTTTCGAACCTGAACTCTCAAAGGCAGGTTCATCTCTGCGAGTTAAATGCATTCATCATGAAGAACTTTCTCAGCGTGTTTGTGTTTAGTTATGGGAAATTATTCCCTTTTCCAATGAAATCCTCAGAGAGCTCCAAATATCCACCTGCAGATTCTACCAAAAGTGTATTTGGAAACTGCTCCATCAAAAGGCATGTTCAGCTCTGTGAGTGAAACTCCATCATCACAAAGAATATTCTGAGAATGCTTCCGTTTGCCTTTTATCTGAAGTTCCTTCCTATACGACCGTAGGCCTCAAAGCAGTCCAAATCTCCATTTGCAGATTCTACAAAAAGAGTGATTCCAATCTGCTCTATCAATAGGATTGTTCAACTCCATGAGTTGAATGCCATCCTCACAAAGTCGTTTCTGAGAATGCTTTCTATCTAGTTTTTATGTGAAGATATTTCCTTTTCCACCACAGGCCTCAAAGCCCTCCAAACGTCCACTTGCAGATTCTCGAAAAAGAGTGTTTCATAGCTGCTCTTTCAAAAGGAAAGTTCAACTCTGGGAGTTGAATACAAACATCACAAAGTAGTTTCCGAGAATGCTTCTGTTTAGTTTTTATGTGAAGATGATCCCGTTTCCAGTGAAATCTTCAAAGAGGTCCACATATCCCCTTGCAGATTCCAAAGAAAGAGGGTTTCAAAACTGCTCCATCAGAAGGATTGTTCAACTCTGTGAGTTGAATGCAGTCATCGCAGAAAACTTTCTGAGAATGCTTCTTTCTAGGTTTGATGTGAAGATATAGACGTTTCAAACGAAGGCTACAAAGTGGTCAAAATATACACTTGCAGATTCTACTACAAGGGTGTTGCAAACCTGAACTATCAAAGGAAGGTTCAACTCTGTGAGTTGAATACAAACATCACAAAGAATGTTCTGAGTTTGCTTCCGTTCAGTTATGGGAAGTTGATCCCATTTCCAACGAAATCCTCAGAGAGGTCCAAATATCCCTTTGCAGATTCTACAAAATGTGTGTTTGGAAACTGCTCCATCATAACGAATGTTCAGCTCTCTGAGTTAAACTCTATCGTCACAAAGAATTTTACTGAGAGTGCTACCGTCTGGTTTTTATATGAAGTTCTTTCCTTTACTACCACAGGCCTCAAAGCGGTCCAAATCTCCACTTGCAGATTCTACAAAAACAGTGTTTGCAAACTGCTCTATCAAAAGGAATGTTCAACTCTGGGAGTTGAATGCAATCATCACAGAGCAGTTTCTGAGAATGCTTCTATGTCGTTTTTAGGAGAAGATATTTCCTTTTCCAACACAGTCCTCCAAGCCCGCTAAAGGTCCACTTGCACACTTTAGAAAAAGTGTGTCGAAGCTGCGCTATCAAAGGGAAAGTTCAACTCTGTGAGGTGAATGCAAACATCCCAAAGAAGTTTCTGAGAATGCTTCCGTTTAGCTTTTAGGTGAAGATTATCCCGTTTCCAACGAAACCTTCAAAGAGGTCCAAATATCCCCTTGCGGATCCCACAGAAAGAGTGTTTTGAAACTGCTGTTTCAAAAGGAATCTTCAACTGCTGTGAGTTGAATGCAATCATCACAAAGAAGTTTCTGACAATGCTTCTCTCTCGTCTTTCTGTGAAGATAAAGGAAAAGGCTTTCAGGCCTTTTCCACCACAGGCCTGAAAGCGCTCCAAATGTCCACTTGCAGATTCTGCCAAAAGAATAGTTCAAAACTGCTCTATGAAAAGCAATGTTAAACTCTGTGGCTCGAACACAAACATCACAAAGCAGTTTCTGAGAATGCTTCAGTTTAGTTTTTCTGTGGAAATATTCCCGTTTCCAAAGAAATCTTCAAAGAGGTCCACGCATCCACTTACAGATTCTACAAAAAGACAGTTTCAAAACTGCTCAATCAAAAGGAGGGTTCAACTGTGTGACTTGAATGCAATCATCACTCAGAAGTTTCTGAGAACGCTTCTCTTTAGTTTTTACGTGAACATATACCCGTTTCGAACGAAGGCCAGCCAGTGGTCCAAATATCCACTTGCAGATTCTACAGAAAGAGTGTTTCGAACCTGAACTCTCAAAGGCAGGTTCATCTCTGCGAGTTCAATGCATTCATCATGAAGAACTTTCTCAGCGTGTTTGTGTTTAGTTATGGGAAATTATTCCCGTTTCCAACGAAATCCTCAGAGAGGTCCAAATATCCACCTGCAGATTCTACCAAAAGTGTATTTGGAAACTGCTCCATCAAAAGGCATGTTCAGCTCTGTGAGTGAAACTCCATCATCACAAAGAATATTCTGAGAATGCTTCCGTTTGCCTTTTATATGAAGATCCTTCCTATACTACCGTAGGCCTCAAAGCAGTCCAAATCTTCATTTGCAGATTCTACAAAAAGAGTGATTCCAATCTGCTCTATCAATAGGATTGTTCAACTCCATGAGTTGAATGCCATCCTCACAAAGTCGTTTCTGAGAATGCTTCTATCTAGTTTTTATGTGAAGATATTTCCTTTTCCACCACAGGCCTCAAAGCCCTCCAAACGTCCACTTGCAGATTCTCGAAAAAGAGTGTTTCATAGCTGCTCTTTCAAAAGGAAAGTTCACCTCTGGTAGTTGAATACAAACATCACAAAGTAGTTTCCGAGAATGCTTCTGTTTAGTTCTTATGTGAAGATGATCCCGTTTCCAGTGAAATCTTCAAAGAGGTCCACATATCCCCTTGCAGATTCCAAAGAAAGAGGGTTTCAAAACTGCTCCATCAAAAGGATTGTTCAACTCTGTGAGTGGAATGCAGTCATCGCAGAAAACTTTCTGAGAATGCTTCTGTCTAGGTTTGATGTGAAGATATAGACGTTTCAAACGAAGGCTACAAAGTGTTCAAAATATACACTTGCAGATTCTACTACAAGGGTGATGCAAACCTGAACTATCAAAGGAAGGTTCAACTCTGTGAGTTGAATACAAACATCACAAAGAATGTTCTGAGTTTGCTTCCGTTCAGTTATGGGAAGTTGATCCCGTTTCCAACGAAATCCTCAGAGAGGTCCAAATATCCCCTTGCAGATTCTACAAAACGTGTGTTTGGAAACTGCTCCATCATAACGAATGTTCAGCTCTCTGAGTTAAACTCCATCGTCACAAAGAATTTTCTGAGGGTGCTACCGTCTAGTTTTTATATGAAGTTCTTTCCTTTACTACCACAGGCCTCAAAGCGGTCCAAATCTCCACTTGCAGATTCTACAAAAAGAGTGTTTGCAAACTGCTCTATCAAAAGGAATGTTCAACTCTGGGAGTTGAATGCAATCATCACAGAGCAGTTTCTGAGAATGCTTCTATGTCGTTTTTAGGAGAAGATATTTCCTTTTCCAACACAGTCCTCCAAGCCCGCTAAATATCCACTTGCACATTGTAGAAAAAGTGTGTCGAAGCTGCGCTATCAAAGGGAAAGTTCAACTCTGTGAGGTGAATGCAAACATCCCAAAGAAGTTTCTGAGAATGCTTCCGTTTAGCTTTTAGGTGAAGATTATCCCGTTTCCAACGAAATCTTCAAAGAGGTCCAAATATCCCCTTGCGGATCCCACAGAAAGAGTGTTTCGAAACTGCTGTTTCAAAAGGAATCTTCAACTCTGTGAGTTGAATGCAATCATCACAAAGAAGTTTCTGACAATGCTTCTCTCTCGTCTTTCTGTGAAGATAAAGGAAAAGGCTTTCAGGCCTTTTCCACCACAGGCCTGAAAGCGCTCCAAATGTCCACTTGCAGATTCTGCCAAAAGAATAGTTCAAAACTGCTCTATGAAAAGCAATGTTAAACTCTGTGGCTCGAACACAAACATCACAAAGCAGTTTCTGAGAATGCTTCAGTTTAGTTTTTCTGTGGAAATATTCCCGTTTCCAAAGAAATCTTCAAAGAGGTCCACGCATCCACTTACAGATTCTACAAAAAGACAGTTTCAAAACTGCTCAATCAAAAGGAGGGTTCAACTGTGTGACTTGAATGCAATCATCACTCAGAAGTTTATGAGAACGCTTCTCTTTAGTTTTTACGTGAACATATACCCGTTTCGAACGAAGGCCAGCCAGTGGTCCAAATATCCACTTGCAGATTCTACAGAAAGAGTGTTTCGAACCTGAACTCTCAAAGGCAGGTTCATCTCTGCGAGTTCAATGCATTCATCATGAAGAACTTTCTCAGAGTGTTTGTGTTTAGTTATGGGAAATTATTCCCGTTTCCAACGAAATCCTCAGAGAGCTCCAAATATCCACCTGCAGATTCTACCAAAAGTGTATTTGGAAACTGCTCCATCAAAAGGCATGTTCAGCTCTGTGAGTGAAACTCCATCATCACAAAGAATATTCTGAGAATGCTTCCGTTTGCCTTTTATATGAAGTTCCTTCCTGTACTACTGTAGGCCTCAAAGCAGTCCAAATCTCCATTTGCAGATTCTACAAAAAGAGTGATTCCAATCTGCTCTATCAATAGGATTGTTCAACTCCATGAGTTGAATGCCATCCTCACAAAGCAGTTTCTGAGAATGCTTCTATCTGGTTTTTGTGTGAAGATATTTCCTTTTCCACCACAGGCCTCAAAGCCCTCCAAACGTCCACTTGCAGATTCTCGAAAAAGAGTGTTTCATAGCTGCTCTTTCAAAAGGAAAGTTCAACTCTGGGAGTTGAATACAAACATCACAAAATAGTTTCCGAGAATGCTTCTGTTTAGTTTTTATGTGAAGATGATCCCGTTTCCAGTGAAAGCTTCAAAGAGGTCCACATATCCCCTTGCAGATTCCAAAGAAAGAGGGTTTCAAAACTGCTCCATCAGAAGGATTGTTCAACTCTGTGAGTTGAATGCAGTCATCGCAGAAAACTTTCTGAGAATGCTTCTGTCTAGGTTTGATGTGAAGATATAGACGTTTCAAACGAAGGCTACAAAGTGGTCAAAATATACACTTGCAGATTCTACTACAAGAGTGTTGCAAACCTGAACTATCAAAGGAAGGTTCAACTCTGTGAGTTGAATACAAACATCACAAAGAATGTTCTGAGTTTGCTTCCGTTCAGTTATGGGAAGTTGATCCCGTTTCCAACGAAATCCTCAGAGAGGTCCAAATATCCCCTCACAGATTCTACAAAACGTGTGTTTGGAAACTGCTCCATCATAACGAATGTTCAGCTCTCTGAGTTAAACTCCATCGTCACAAAGAATTTTCTGAGAGTGCTACCGTCTGGTTTTTATATGAAGTTTTTTCCTTCACTACCACAGGCCTCAAAGCGGTCCAAATCTCCACTTGCAGATTCTACAAAAAGAGTGTTTGCAAACTGCTCTATCAAAAGGAATGTTCAACTCTGGGAGTTGAATGCAATCATCACAGAGCAGTTTCTGAGAATGCTTCTATGTCGTTTTTAGGAGAAGATATTTCCTTTTCCAACACAGTCCTCCAAGCCCGCTAAATAGCCACTTGCACATTGTAGAAAAAGTGTGTCAAAGCTGCGCTATCAAAGGGAAATTTCAACTCTGTGAGGTGAATGCAAACATCCCAAAGAAGTTTCTGAGAATGCTTCCGTTTAGCTTTTAGGTGAAGATTATCCCGTTTCCAACGAAACCTTCAAAGAGGTCCAAATATCCCCTTGCGGATCCCACAGAAAGAGTGTTTCGAAACTGCTGTTTCAAAAGGAATCTTCAACTCTGTGAGTTGAATGCAATCATCACAAAGAAGTTTCTGACAATGCTTCTCTCTCGTCTTTCTGTGAAGATAAAGGAAAAGGCTTTCAGGCCTTTTCCACCACAGGCCTGAAAGCGCTCCAAATGTCCACTTGCAGATTCTGCCAAAAGAATATTTCAAAACTGCTCTATGAAAAGCAATGTTAAACTCTGTGGCTGGAACACAAACATCACAAAGCGGTTTCTGAGAATGTTTCAGTTTAGTTTTTCTGTGGAAATATTCCCGTTTCCAAAGAAATCTTCAAAGAGGTCCACGTATCCACTTACAGATTCTACAAAAAGACAGTTTCAAAACTGCTCCATCAAAAGGAGGGTTCAACTGTGTGACTTGAATGCAATCATCACTCAGAAGTTTCTGAGAATGCTTCTCTTTAGTTTTTACGTGAACATATACCCGTTTCGAACGAAGGCCACCCAGTGGTCCAAATATCCACTTGCAGATTATACAGAAAGAGTGTTTCGAACCTGAACTCTCAAAGGCAGGTTCATCTCTGCGAGTTAAATGCATTCATCATGAAGAACTTTCTCAGAGTGTTTGTGTTTAGTTATGGGAAATTATTCCCGTTTCCAACGAAATCCTCAGAGAGCTCCAAATATCCACCTGCAGATTCTACCAAAAGTGTATTTGGAAACTGCTCCATCAAAAGGCATGTTCAGCTCTGTGAGTGAAACTCCATCATCACAAAGAATATTCTGAGAATGCTTCCGTTTGCCTTTTATATGAAGTTCCTTCCTGTACTACCGTAGGCCTCAAAGCAGTCCAAATCTCCATTTGCAGATTCTATAAAAAGAGTGATTCCAATCTGCTCTATCAATAGGATTGTTCAACTCCATGATTTGAATGCCATCCTCACAAAGTAGTTTCTGAGAATGCTTCTATCTGGTTTTTGTGTGAAGATATTTCCTTTTCCACCACAGGCCTCAAAGCCCTCCAAACGTCCACTTGCAGATTCTCGAAAAAGAGTGTTTCATAGCTGCTCTTTCAAAAGGAAAGTTCAACTCTGGGAGTTGAATGCAAACATCACAAAATAGTTTCCGAGAATGCTTCTGTTTAGTTTTTATGTGAAGATGATCCCGTTTCCAGTGAAATCTTCAAAGAGGTCCACATATCCCCTTGCAGATTCCAAAGAAAGAGGGTTTCAAAACTGCTCCATCAGAAGGATTGTTCAACTCTGTGAGTTGAATGCAGTCATCGCAGAAAACTTTCTGAGAATGCTTCTGTCTAGGTTTGATGTGAAGATATAGACGTTTCAAACGAAGGCTACAACATGGTCAAAATATACACTTGCAGATTCTACTACAAGGGTGTTGCAAACCTGAACTATCAAAGGAAGGTTCAACTCTGTGAATTGAATACAAACATCACAAAGAATGTTCTGAGTTTGCTTCCGTTCAGTTATGGGAAGTTGATCCCGTTTCCAACGAAATCCTCAGAGAGGTCCAAATATCCCCTCGCAGATTCTACAAAACGTGTGTTTGGAAACTGCTCCATCATAACGAATGTTCAGCTCCCTGAGTTAAACTCCATCGTCACAAAGAATTTTCTGAGAGTGCTACCGTCTGGTTTTTATATGAAGTTCTTTCCTTCACTACCACAGGCCTCAAAGCGGTCCAAATCTCCACTTGCAGATTCTACAAAAAGAGTGTTTGCAAACTGCTCTATCAAAAGGAATGTTCAACTCTGGGAGTTGAATGCAATCATCACAGAGCAGTTTCTGAGAATGCTTCTATGTCGTTTTTAGGAGAAGATATTTCCTTTTCCAACACAGTCCTCCAAGCCCGCTAAATAGCCACTTGCACATTGTAGAAAAAGTGTGTCAAAGCTGCGCTATCAAAGGGAAAGTTCAACTCTGTGAGGTGAATGCAAACATCCCAAAGAAGTTTCTGAGAATGCTTCCGTTTAGCTTTTAGGTGAAGATTATCCCGTTTCCAACGAAACCTTCAAAGAGGTCCAAATATCCCCTTGCGGATCCCACAGAAAGAGTGTTTCGAAACTGCTGTTTCAAAAGGAATCTTCAACTCTGTGAGTTGAATGCAATCATCCCAAAGAAGTTTCTGACAATGCTTCTCTCTCGTCTTTCTGTGAAGATAAAGGAAAAGGCTTTCAGGCCTTTTCCACCACAGGCCTGAAAGCGCTCCAAATGTCCACTTGCAGATTCTGCCAAAAGAATATTTCAAAACTGCTCTATGAAAAGCAATGTTAAACTCTGTGGCTCGAACACAAACATCACAAAGCGGTTTCTGAGAATGCTTCAGTTTAGTTTTTCTGTGGAAATATTCCCGTTTCCAAAGAAATCTTCAAAGAGATCCACGTATCCACTTACAGATTCTACAAAAAGACAGTTTCAAAACTGCTCCATCAAAAGGAGGGTTCAACTGTGTGACTTGAATGCAATCATCACTCAGAAGTTTCTGAGAATGCTTCTCTTTAGTTTTTACGTGAACATATACCCGTTTCGAACGAAGGCCAGCCAGTGGTCCAAATATCCACTTGCAGATTCTACAGAAAGAGTGTTTCGAACATGAACTCTCAAAGGCAGGT